>NC_000001.11:49705350-49856865 GCF_000001405.40 Homo sapiens
AGCCATGTCATCTGCAAACAGAGACAATTTGACTTCCTCTCTTCCTATTTGAATACGCTTTATTTCTTTCTCTTGCCTGATAGCCCTAGCCAGATGAGGGGATTTTCTAAATATACAGCCATGTCATCTGCAAACAGAGACAATTTGACTTCCTCTCTTCCTATTTGAATACCCTTTTTATTTCTTTCTCTTGCCTGATAGCCCTAGCCAGAACTTTCAATACTATGTTGAACAGGAGTGGTGAGAGAAGGCATCCTTGTATTGTGCCAGTTTTCAAAGATAACGTTTCCAGCTTTTGGTCATTCAGTATGATATTGGCTGTGGGTTTGTCATAAATTGCTCTTATTATTTTCAGATACATTCCATCATTACCTAGTTTATTGAGTGTTTTTTTTTTACCATGAAAGGGTGTTGAATTTTATCGAAGGCCTTTTGCATCTATTGATATAATCATGTGGTTTTTGTCATTGGTTCTGTTTATGTGATGGATTATGTTCATTGATTTGCGTATGTTGAACCAGCCTTGTATCCCAGGGATGAAGCCAACTTGATCGTGGCAGATAGGCTTTTCAATGTGCTGCTGGATTCAGTTTGCCAGTATTTTATTGAGGATTTTCCCATCTATGTTAATCAGGGATATTGGCCTGAAATTTTCTTTTTGTTTTTTTGTCGTGTCTGCCAGGTTTTGGTATCAAGATGAGGCTGGACTCATAAAATGAATTGCAGAGGAGTCCCTGTTTTTCTATTGTTTGAAATAGTTTTAGAAGGAATGGTACCAGTTCCTCTTTGTACTTCTGGTGGAATTCGGCTGTGAATCTGTCTAGTCCTGGACTTTTGTTGGTTGGTAGGCTCTTAATTACTGCCTCAACTTCAGAACATTTTATTGGTCTAATTCAGGGATCTGACTTCTTCCTGGTTTAGTCTTGGGAGGGTGTTGTGTCCAGGAATTCATCCATTTCTTCTAGATTTTCTAGTTTATCTGCATAGAGGTGTTTAAATTATTCTCTGATGGTAGTTTGTATTTCTGTGGGGTCAGTGGTGATATCCCCTTTATCATTTTTTATTGTGTTTTTTGTATTCTTCTCTCTTTTCTTCTTTATTAGTCTGGCCAGCGGTCTATCTATTTTGTTAATCTTTTCAAAAAACCAGCTACTACATTCATTGATTTTTTGAAGGGTTTTTCATCTCTATCTCCTTCAGTTCTGCCCTGATATTAGTTATTTCTTGTCTTATGCTAGCTTTTGAATTTCTTTCCTCTTGCTTCTCTAGTTCTTTTCATTGTGATGTTAGGGTGTCGATTTCAGATCTTTCCTACTTTCTCATGAGGGCATTTAGTGCTATAAATTTCCCTCTAAACACTGCTTTAGCTGTGTCCCAGAGATGCTGGTACGTTGTCTCTTTGTTCTCATTGGTTTCAAAGAACTTCTTTATTTCTGCCCTAATTTTATTTACCCAGTAGTCACTCAGGAGCAGGTTGTTCAGTTTCCATGTAGTTGTATGGTTTTGAGTGAGTATCTTAATCTTGAACTCTAATTTGATTGCACTGTGGTCTGAAAGACTGTTTCTTATGATTTCTGTTCTTTTGCATTTGCTGAGGAGTGTTTTACTTCCAATTAAGTGGGCAATTCTAGAATAACTGTTATGTGGTGCTGAGAAGAATGTATATTCTGTTGATTTGGGGTGGAGAGTTCTGTACATGTCTATTAGGTCTGCTTGGTCCACAGCTGAGTTCAAGTCTTGAATATCCTTATTAATTTTCTGTCTCGTTGATCTGTCTAATATTGACAGTGGGGTGTTAAAGTCTCCCACTATTACTGTGTGGGAGTCTGTCTCTTTGTAGGTCTCTAAGAACTTGCTTTAAGAATTGGGTGCTACTGTATTGGATGCATATATATTTAGGATAGTTAACTCCCTTGTTGCGTTGATCCCTTTACCCTTATGTAATGCATTTCTTTATCTTTTTTATCTTTGTTGACTTAAAGTCTGTTTTATCAGAGACTAGGATTGCAACCCCTGCTTTTTTTTTTTTTTTTTTTTTGCTTATCATTTGGTTGGTACATATTCCTAAATCCCTTTATTTTGAGCCTATGTGTGTCTTTGCACATGAGTTGGGTCTCATGAATATAACACAAAGATGGATCTTGACCCTTTATCTAATTTGCCAATCTGTGTCTTTTAACTGGGGCATTTAGCCCATTTACATTTGAGGTTAGTATTGTAATATGTGATTTTGATCTTGTCATTATGATCCTAGCTGGTTATTTTGACTACTGGTGGATGCCGTTTCTTCATAGTGTCGATGGTCTCTACATTTTGGTATGGTTTTCCAGTGGCAGGTACCGGTTTTTCCTTCCCATATTTAGTGCTTCCTTCAGGAGCTCTTGTATGGCAGGCCTGGTGGTGACAAAATTCCTCAGCATTTGATTGTCCATAAAGGATTTTATTTCTCCTTCACTTATAAAGCTTAGTTTGGCCAATATGAAATTCTGAGTTGAAAATTCTTTTCTTTAAGAATGTTGAGTATTGGCCCCCACTATCTTCTGGCTTGTAGGGTTTCTGCAGAGACATCCCCTGTTAGTCTGATGGGCTTCCTTGTGTAGGTAACCTAATCTTTCTTTCTGGCTGCCCTTAACATTTTTTCCTTCATTTCAACCTTGATGAATCTGACGATTATGTGTCTTGGGGTTGCTCTTCTTGAGAAGTATCTTTGTGGTGTTCTCTGTATTTCCAGAATTTGAATGTTGACCTGTTTCACTAGGTTGGGGACGTTCTCCTGGATAATATCCTGAAGAGTGTTTTCCAACTTGGTTCCATTCTCCCCCTCATTTTCAGGTACACCAATCAAATGTAAGTTTGGTTGTTTCACACAGTCCCATATTTCTTGAAGGCTTTATTCATTCCTTTTCATTCTTTTTACTCTAATCTTGTCTTCACATTTTATTTCATTAAGTTGAGCTTCAATATCTGATATACTTTCTTCTGCTTGATCAATTTGGCTATTGATATTTGTATAAGCTTCACACAGTTCTCGTCCTGTGTTTTTCATCTCCATCAGTTCATTTATGTTCTTCTCTAAACTGGTTATTCTAGTTAGCAGCTCCTGTAACCTTTTATCAAGGTTCTTAACTTCCTTGCATTGGTTAGAACATGCTCCTTTAGCTCAGAAGAGTTTGTTATTACCTACCTTCTGAAGCCTACTTCTGTCAATTCATCAAACTCATTCTCCATCCAGTTTTGTTCCCTTGCTGGCGAGGAGTTGTGATCCTTTGGAGGAGAGGAGACATTCAGTTTTTTGAATTTTCAGCCTTTTTGCACTGGTTTTTCCTCATCTTCATGGATTTATCTACATTTACTCTTTCATGTTGGTGACCTTTGGATGGGATTTTTGCATGGGCATCCTTTATGCTGATGTTGATGCTATTGCTCTCTGTTTGTAGTTTTCCTTTTAACAGTCAGGCCCCTATTCTGAAGCTCTGCTTGAGTATACTGGAGGTCCACTCTAGACGCTGTTTGCCTGGGTATCACCAGAGGAGCCTGCAGAACAGCAAAGATTGCTGCCTGCTCCTTCCTCTAGAACCTTCCTCTCCCAGAGCGACACCTGCCAAATGCCAGCCAGAGCTCTACTGTATGAGGTGTCTATCGACCCCTGCTGTGAGGTGTCTCTCATGCAGGAGGCACGGTGGTCAGGGACCCAAATGAGGAGGCACTCTGTCTCTTAGCAGAGCTCAAGTGCTGTGCTGGGAGATCTGCTGCTCTCTTCAGAGCTGGCAGGCAGGAAGGTTTATATCTGCTGAAGCTGTGGCCATAGCTGCCCCTTCCTCCAGGACCTCTGTCCCAGAAAGATGGGAGTTTTATCTATAAGCCCCCGACTGGGGCTGCTGCCTTTCTTTCAGAGATGCCCTGCCCAGAGAGGAGGAATCTAGAGAGGCAGTCTGGCTACAGCAGCTTTGTAGCACTGCGGTGGGCTCTGCCCAGTCTGAACTTCCCGGAGGCTGTGTTTATACTGTGAGGGAAAAACCACCTACACAAGCCTCAGCATGGTGGACGGCCCTTTCCCCACCAAGCTCAAGTGTCCCAGGACAACTTCAGATTGCTCTGTTGGCAGCGAGAATTTCAAGCCAGAGAATCTAGGAAATACCATTCAGGACATAGACATGGGCAAAGACTTCATGACTAAAACACCAAAAGCAATGGCAACAAAAGCAATGGCAAACACCAAAAGCAATGGCAACAAAAGCCAAAATTGATAAATGGGATCTAATTAAACCAAAGAGCTTCTGTACGGCAAAAGAAACTACCATCAGAGTGAATAAAATGGGAGAAAATGTTTGCAATCTATCCATCTGACAAAAAGCTAATATCCAGAATCTACAAGGAACTTAAACAAATTTACAAGAAAAAAACAAAGAACCCCATCAAAAAGTGGCCGAAGGATATGAACAGATACTTCTCAAAAGAAGACATTTATGCAGCAAACAAACATATGAAAAAAAGCTCATCATCAATGGGCATTAGACAATGAATATCAAAACCAAAATAGATACCATCTCATGCCAGTTAGAATGGCAATCATTAAAAAGTCAGGAAATAACAGATGCTGGAGAGGATGTGGAGAAATAGGAACGCTTTACACTGTTGGTGGGAGTGTAAATTAGTTCAACCATTGTGGAAGACAGTGTGGCAATTCCTCAAGGATCTGGAACCAGAAATACCATTTGACCCAGTAATCCCATTACTGGATATATACCAAAAGGATTATAAATAATTCTACTATAAAGACACATGCACACATATGTTTATTGAGGCACTGTTCACAATAGCAAAGACTTGGAACCAACCCAAATGCCCATCAATGGTAGACTGGATAAAGAAAATGTGGCACATATACACCATGGAATACTATGCAGCCATAAAAAGGATGAGTTCATGTCCTTTGAAGGGACATGTATGAAGCTGGAAACCATTATTCTCAGCAAACTAACACAGGAACAGAAAACCAAACACCGCAAGTTTTCACTCATAAGTGGGAGTTTAAAAATGAGACCATATGGGTACAGGGAAGGGAACATTACACACTGGGCCTGTTGGAGGTTGTGGGGCAAGGGGAGGGATAGCATTAGGAGAAATACCTAATGTAGATGACAGGTTGATGGGTGCAGCAAACCACCATGGCCCATATATACCTATGTAATAAACCTGCACGTTCTGCACATGTATCCCAGAATTTAAAGTATAATAATAAAACAAAAATGAATAAATAATTTAAAATTTTTAAAAAATATATATAATAGAAAATTCTTTGTGACCTTTGAGTAGGCAAAGATTTCTTAGAAAGAACATAAAAAGCATAAACTATATTTTAAAAAACTAATAAACTGAACTTCATAAACAGATACCAAAAATCACTTTACCTCTTTAGTTCTCTGAAAGGCAGTATTAAGAAATGAAAAACAAAGACACAGACTAACAGAAGATACTTGTTACACAGAAAAAGAACGTGTATCTTGAATATACAAAGAACTCTTATGAAGCAAAAAATTAAATTAAAATTAAAAAATAAGCAAAAGATCTAAACACTCAGAAAAAGAAAACAAGATTTATGAGTTGCCAGGAAGCATATAAAATGTTACTACACATCACTTATTATCAGAAAAATGCATATTAAAACCACAAAGGAATACTACTGCACACCCATAGAATAGCTAAAAAATAAAAACATAATAAACAATAGAAAATTTGGCCCCACCAAGCGATAACAAGGATGTGAAGCAACTAGAAGTTTCATACGTTTCCAGTGAAAATGTAAAAGGACGATCACTTTGCAAAACCATTTGATAATTTCTCATAAAGGTAAATGTACACCAATTATATGACCTAGCTGGTCATAGATATCTAACCAAGAAAAAAATTAAAAATTGTGTTTACACTAAGACTTGTAAATAAATGTTCATAGAAACTTTATTTGTAATAGCTGAAAACTGGAAACAACCTAAATGCCTTTCAGTAGGTTGAATGGATAAACACATATTTGTACAATGAAATAGTGCTAAGCAAGAAAAAGAAATGAATTATCAATACATACAACATGGATCAATCTCAAATCATTATGTCAAAATAAAAAGGTCACACAAAACAAGGTACATAATGAATTCCATTTATTCACGAAAATGCAAATTCACATTTATGGATAGAAAGCAATGATCAGTGTTTATCTGGGTAGAAAGGGGGATATATTATGAAGGAGCCTGAGAAATCTTGCAGGCGCTGGATATATTTGCTCTCTTGATTGTGGCGACAGTTTCCTAAGTGTATGCATATGTCAAAATACATCAAATTTTACACTTTAAATATGTTCAGTTTAATGTTGTTCAGTTACACAGTACTTTAATAATTTTAAAAAATACTTATACCTCTCCACTATCTCATTTTCCCTTGGAATGTCCCAGAAATAACAGCTATCTTAAATTTAGTGTTTCCCTTTTACATGCATTTTTTGAAATAAGTATTACGCACAGTATAATGGTTACATACAGGGACTGTAAAGCCAGACAACATGAGCTGTAAATCTGTCTCTATCACTTAATAGCTTTGTTTCTTTGGAAAAATTAATTCATTTTTATGTGCCTCAATTTACTGACTATAATGGGATGATAGTACTTTTTTCACAGGGTTATTGTGAGTATTAAGTGACTGAATTTATATAAATAGCTAGAAGAGTATTTGTCAAATAGTAAATTATAGTTATGCCATATAATATAAAACCAGGTAGATATTAAATTGAACATGAAATAATTGTTAATAATATGGTACAATATTAAGGCAAAATATGATAAGGATGGTTAGGAATATGGGCTCTGGTTCATCCATGTTGTTCCAAAGGGTAAGATCTCCTTTTTAAAGGCTGAATAATATTCCATTGAATAATACCCCATAATTTTGTTAACTATTCATCTATCAACAGACACCTTGGTTAAGTAAAATAAGTTAGACACAAAAAGAAAAATACTGCATGATCTCACTTATATATGGAATCGTCTTTTTAAAAGTTGAATATATAGAAACAAAGAGTAGAATGGCAGTTACCAGAGATGGGGGTGGGGGCAGGGAATGAAGAATGGGGAGATAAAGATCAAAAATATAAAAAGTTGCAGTTATGTAGGATGAATAAGTCTAGAGATGTAATGTATAACATGAGGACTATAGTTAATAATATTGCATATTGAAAATTTGCTGAGAGTAGATTTTAGTAGCTCTTACCACCAAAAAAAGTAACTGTGAGATAACAGATATGACAATTTTCATGATTATAGAAACCATTTCACTAATGTATGTATATGAAAAAAGAAAGCTGTACATCTTAAATGTGTACAATTTTTTTAAAAAGAAGAATATGGGCTTTGGGTTAGACCACTTGGATTGAATCTCAGCTCTACCACTTAGTATCTGGGTTATCTTGAGTATGTTTCTTGTTTCTTACTTTCTTTGTGCTTTAGTTTTTTCATCTTTAAAAGATGAATAATGACAGCACCTTCTTCTTAGGGTTGAATTAAACAACTTGACCTAAAAGCATGTGGAGTAGTGTCCTAAGCACAGAACAAACATTCAATAACATTAACTATTAGTAGTAGCATACATTCAGAAGTAATATATAGTTGCCTCCAACAATTCAGTGTTATGTCTTCAAGTAAAAGTAACGTATATTAAATGTAAATTAATGGTTTGTATTTTTTTATGTATTCAGGCTCATAGGAGAAACATTTTTTATCTTTGCAAAAAGATATTGTAAATTCACTGGACATAAGCCTACTCTTCATTGCTATTTGTCACCTATTTCTCTGTTCTTTTATTCATTCCTAACATGTTTTCATCAATTTAGATAACTCAGTGAGAATATCCTATGGATTTCATTTTAAAAGACTGCACTTAACAATAACTGATGTGCCTTTTGTAAACTCCAAGCTTACAGGGGCTGAAAAGTTTATTTTTGCTATTAATTTCCACGGCACCTTTTCTCATGTTAACACCTTGTCTTATTTAGCAATTCATTAACATAGATAGTTCTATACAATTCATTGACAGATTCATTTTTGATCATTTTATTTTTAATGTTTTATAAGTATCAAAAATAGTAATATATCCACATTATTTGATCAGTTACATACTAATAGTAGCTGTAATAAACTAATCCAAGCAAATTGTTTTATTCAGTAGCTTTTATGTATTAAGAAAAAATTCTTTGAATATTTATATATACCATATACATATATATACACACACATACATAAACAGATTTTGTTGTGAAAAAGCATAATATGTTGATCAATAAAAGACTTTCAAGCAAAAAAGAAATACTGTATTTTTAGGATAATTCTTTGCAGAAACTAAAAAGGAAATTATGAGTCTTGTACAAAGGAGGAACAATGTAAAATTTCTGCTTAGAAAAGTCTCCTCATTTTTTTTTAAGAGATAGGGTATTTGTATATTGCTCAGGCTAGACACAAACTCCTGAGTTCAAGGGATCTCCTACCTCAGCCTACAGAGTAGCTGGGAATACAGGCATGTGCCACTGTGCCTGGCTTTACTTCTAAATGGATTTTAACCACGAATAACTACATAGTTTTTACCATATGCCAAACACTCCTAACTGCACTCTCTAAACACTCTTCTAATTGCCAAATTAACTTAATATATTTAAATATCATGACTATGCCAAGACGTAGACTGTGTTAGTCATTTCATTTTAGTACGTGGAAACTGAAATACTGAGAGATTAAATAATTTACTTAAGGTCATAAAGCTAAGGAAGTAATTCACAGAAACTGAATACGAATCCAGGTACTCCTGCTTGATTGCCTGATATTTTAAAATAGATTTTAGGGTGCAAGAGCAGTTTTGTAACATGGATATATTGCATAGGGATGAAGTCTGGATTTTCAGTGTAGCCATCACCTAAATAATGTAGATTGTACTGATTAAGTAATTTATTTTCTCTCGTCCCCCTCCAAAGCATCCACTCTTATAATTCTCCAATATCTATTATCCTATACATTGGAGAATGTCCATGTATACACATTATTTAGCTCCTACTTATAAATGAAAACAAGAGGTGTTTGACTTTATGTTTCTGAGTTATTTCACTTAAGATAATGGTCTCCAGTTCCATCTATGCTGCTACAAAAGACATGACTTTACTGTTTGTTATAGTTGAGTAGTATTTACATATATATATATATATATATATATACACACACACACATATATATATATCTATACATATACACACACAAATATTTACACATCACATTTTCTTTGTCCAATCATCCATTCATGGACTCTTGGATTGATTCCATTATCTTTGCTATTGTAAATAATGCTGCAATAAACATACAACTACAGGTTTATTTTTGATGAAATTATTTCTTTTCATTTGGGTAGATACTCAGGAATGGGATTACTAGATTCAGTGGTAGCTCTATTTTTAATTCTTTGAGAAATCTCCATACTGTTTTCCATAGAGATTGCACTAATTTACTTTTTCACCAACAGTGTATAACCATTCTCTTTTCTATGCATCCTCACTAGCATCTATTATTTTTTGACTTTTTATTTAATTTTTAAAAATTTTTTCAATTATACTTTAAGTTCTGGGATACATGTGCAGAATGTGCAGGTTTGTTACATAGGTATACACATGCCATAGTGGTTTGCCGCACCCATCAACCCGTCATCTACATTAGGTATTTCTCCTAATGCTATCCCTCCCCTAGCCCCCCAGCCCCAACAGGCTCTGGTGTGTGATGTTCCCCTCCCTGTGTCCATGTGTTCTCATTGTTCAGCTCCCACTTATGAGTGAGAACATGTGGTGTTTGGTTTTCTGTTCCTGTGTTAGTTTGCTGAGAATGATGGTTTCCAGCTTCATGCATGTCCCCTCAAAGGACATGTACTCATCCTTTTTTATGGCTGCATAGTATTCTATGGTGTATATATGCCACATTTTCTTTATCCAGTCTATCATTGATGGGCATTTGGGTTGATTCCAAGTCTTTGCTATTGTGAACAGTGCCACAATAAACATAAACGTGCATGTGTCTTAATAGTAGAATGATTTATAATCCTTTGGGTATGTACCCAGTTATGGGATTGCTGGGTCAAATGGTATTCTGGTTCCAGATCCTTGAGGAATTGCCACACTGTCTTCCACAATGGTTGAACTAATTTACACTCCCACCAACAGTGTAAAGCGTTCCTATCTCTCCACATCCTCTCCAGCGTCTGTTGTTTCCTTTTAATGATCACCATTCTAACTGGCATGAGATGGTATCTCATTGTGGTTTTGATTTGTATTTCTCTAATGACCAGTGATGATGAGCCTTTTTTCATATATTTGTTAGCCACACAAATGTCTTCTGAGAAGTATCTGTTAATATCCTTCACCCACTTTTTGATGAAGTTGTTTGTTTTTTCTCATAAATTTAAGTTCCTTGTAGATTCTGGATTTTGGCCCTATGTCATATGGATAGATTGCAAACATTTTCTCCCATTTTGTAGGTTGCCTGTTCACTCTGATGATAGTTGATTTTGCTGTGCAGAAGCTCTTTAGTTTAATTAGATCCCATTTGTCTATTTTGGCTTTTGTTGCCATTGTTTTTGGTGTTTTAGTCATGAAGTCGTTGCCCATGCCTATCTCTTGAAAGGTATTGCCTAGGTTTTCTCCTAGGGTTTTTATGGTTTTAGGTCTTATGTTGAAGTCTTTAATCCATCTTAAGTTAATTTTTGTATAAGGTGTAAGGAAGGGGTCCAGTTTCAGTTTTCTGCATATGGCTAGCTAGTTTTCCCAACATCACTTATTAAATAGGGAATCCTTTCCCCATTGCTTGTTTTTGTCAGGTTTGTCAAAGATCAGATGGTTGTAGATGTGTGGAGTTATTTCTGAAGCCTCTGTTCTGTTCCATTGGTCTATATATCTGTTTTGGTACCAGTACCATGCTGTTTTGGTAACTGTAGCCTTGTAGTATAGTTTGAAGTCAGGTAGCGTGGTGCCTCCAGCTTTCTTCTTTTTCCTTAGGATTGTGTTGGCTATGCAGGCTCCTTTTTGGTTCCGTATGAAATTTAAACTAGTTTTTTTCTAATTGTGTGAAGAAAGCCAATAGTAGCTTGATGGAGATAACCAGGCGAAAATAAAATACTGGAAAACCAAATCCACAAGCACATCAAAAAGCTTATCCATCACAATCAAGTTGGCTTCATCCCTGGCATGCAACGCTGGTTCAACATACGCAAATCAATAAACATAATCCATTACATAAACAGAACCAATGACAAAAACCACATGATTATCTCAATAGATGCAGAAATGGCATTCAACAAAATTCAACAGTGCTTCATGCTAAAAACTCTCAGTAAACTAGGTATTGATGGAACATATCTCAAAATAATAAGAGCTATTTATGACAAACCCACAGCCAATATCATACTGAATGGGCAAAAACTGGAAGCATTCCCTTTGAAAACAGGCACAAGACAAGGATGCCCTCTCTCACCACTCCTATTCAACATAGTGTTGGAAGTTCTCTCCAGGGCAATCAGGCAAGAGAAAGAAATAAAGGTATTCAATTAGGAAAAGAGGAAGTCAAATTGTCCCTGTTTGCAGATGACATGATCATAGATTTAGAAAACCCCATCGTCTCAGCCCAAAATCTCCTTAAGCTGATAAGCAACCTCAGCAAAATCTCATGATACAAAATCAACGTGCAAAAATCACAAGCATTCCTATACACCATTAATAGACAAACAGAGAGCTAAATCATGAGTTAATTCCCATTCACAACTGCACCACTGCTCAAGGAAATAAGAAAGGACACATACAAATGGAAAAATGTTCCATGCTTATGGATAGGAAGAATCAATATCGTGAAAATGGCCATATATCCCCAAGTAATTTGTAGATTCAATGCTATCCCCATCAAGCTACCACTGACTTTTTAATAGTAGCCATTCTGGCTTTTGTGAGATGGTATCTCATTGTGGCTTAGCATTTTATTCAGAGTAAATATCAAAGTTTTAAAATATTCTATATGAGCTGCCCTCTTCATGTGTCTGACCTCATCTCCTATTATTATCACTTTACTTGGCTTCCTTCAAGTAACTGCTCAAATTTCACTTCCTCAATAAGGCCAACTTTACCACCATATTAAATAATGCCAAATACCCTTTCCTACATCCTGATTCCTCTCACCTGCCCTAGTTTTCCCACAGCACTCACTACATCGAAGTATATTATTAAAATTACTTATTTACTATGACTATTGTTTATTTCTATCCCCTCTAGTAAGAATGTACGTTCTTTGAGGAAAAGAATCTTTCTTGTTTTGTTTATTGTTATATCGGCAGCACCTGTAGTAGTGTCTGGCCTAACTAGATATTCAATAAATCTCTGTTGAGCAAATGTATACATAAAAGCTAACCTCAAAAGTTGTTAAGTAAAATAAGTTACAGAGTCATTGAGGTAATATATTAAAGCTCTATTTCAGGCCAGACTTAGTTCAGGGAACCAGAATACAAATGCGAATATATCAGTCCTTGCTATCATGAAGCTAACGATCAAGCTGGAGCAATAGTCACAAAAGTAGATAACTTCAATCCAAAACATCAAGTGCTATTGGGATGGATGAAGAAATGATGGAAGGATGCCCAGAGTAAACCATAAGATGCTATGTAAAAGTGGGTGATATGGTTCGGATGTTTATCCCCTCCAAATCTCATGTTGAAATGTGATTCCCAATGTTAGAGGTGGGGAGAGGTAGGAGGTGATGGGTCATAAGGGAGGATCTTTCATGAATGGTTTAGCATTATCCCCTTGGTGAGAAGTGAGTTCTCACACAGTTAGTTCACACAAGGTCTTACTGCTTAAAAGAGTGTAGCATCTCACCATTTCTCTCTCTTTGGCTCCTACTCTCACCATATGATGTGCTGGCTTCCCCTTTACCTTCTGCCATGATTGCTGCAGAAACCCTCACCAGAAGCAGATGCTGGTACCTTACTTCCTGTATAGCCTACAGAACTATGAGCCAAGATAAAACTCTTTTCTTCATAAATTGCCCAATCTCATATATTTATTTGCAGCAATGTAAGAACAGACTAATACAACAAATTATTATTATATCTACACTAAAAGAAACATAAACGGGTCAAAATGAAAAGCCATAAGAATCTTCAATAATGGATCTTTAATTGTGAAAATTAATTTTTCTGTTCATCCATTGACAGTTATTTTGAGATTTCAGTAAACTTAAACTGCATATGTAAAAATTCTTGTCATTTAAATGTTGGCTTATTTTCTATTAAACTTATATTATAAGTTGATTTTCAGAATAATGAGGGTATCTGCTTTTCTTCTTTATTTTGTCTGTATTTTCTTCTTTATTCCAAGAATATAAAGAAGATCCTGTAAAAAACATTTCCCTCTACAAAAAATTTGTAAGCTTTCTATTTTCAGAAAGAAAAACTACATAAAATAATTTATTTTTCTTTCTCTATTCTAAAAGTGTCTGTTTGATGCATTTCTTTCTCCAGATGCCTTACACAGAAGAGTCTTATCTGAAAACTATCTTAAGTTATCCAGGAGTGAGACAAAGAACAACATGTAACTAAAAATGTTAATTGAAATGCCCATTAGAATAGGTACATTGGGTCAGGTGGTCCTTGCAAGTGGCCCTCTGCAGCCTCTTTCAATTATGTGATTCTATAAAAGAAGGAAACCCAAATCCTATAAGTAATCATACAAGTGGCTATCACTGGAATAGGAAATAAAGATGAAGAGCCCCTGGAAATAAAGGAGAAAAATAAGAATCTTACTATGCTAGAAAATTAGCAAATGTCATATGACTTTCCCATCCTACTCAGTCTATTCATTTCCAAAATCTCATCTTCTAAAACAATTCCCACAATAACTGGACTTGCTGGGTAGAGAAGATCCTCTTAGAAAACAAAGTGTTCACCTACGTGAGAGAAATCACTTCTTTTTAGAAATCATTTAGAGCCCTGGATAAGGCAATTTACCAAATGGTGCCTGCCTCCCCAAAGGAGTTAATCTCTCTTTCCATAGTAAATCTGCCTCTTCCTGATAACATGTTTGTGATCGTGGCTCACCATAAAAGCTGTGCATTTGCTTGATCAAAAGACTAGGAAGACGAAAAATAAATTTAGTCACCTTGCGTCACTGTATTGTGGTCTGTATGTTTAAATAATAACAAGCAATGCAGAACTGTCATTAGCCCTTCCTCCATAAAAGACTGAAAGTAAGATAAAACTTGAAAAAGCCTTTTATGTGATTTGGCTGTGTCCCCACCCAAATCTTATCTTGAATTGTAGTTCCTATAATTCCCACATGCTATGGGAGGGATCTGGTGGGAGGTAATTTAACCATGGAGATGTTTATCCTCATGCTATTCTTGTGATGTGAGCGAGTTCACATGAGATCTGACGGTTTCATAAGGGGCTTTCCCCCTTTTGCTCAGCATTTCTCCTTGCTGCTGCCATGTGAAGAAGGATGTGTTTGCTTCCCCTTCCACCATGACTGTAAGTTTCTCGAGGCCTCTCCAGCCATGGTAAACTGTGAGTCAATTAAACCTCTTTCCTTTATAAATTACCCAGTCTTGGGTATGTCTTTATTAGCAGCATAAGAATGGACTAATACAGACATGTTATTTCATGAATATCCTAAAAAATATACACTCTCTAAGACTAAAACTGAAAGGAAAACTGATCCCAGCAATAAGTATCTCCAAATAACAGCATTATAGGTTGAGCATCCCAAATATAAAAATGCAAAATCCAAAATCCAAAATCCAAAAAATGCTCACAAATCCAAAACTCTTCTGAGAACCAACATGATACTCAAAGCAAATGCTCATTAGAGCATTTTGGTTTTCAGATTTTCAGATTTGGGGTGCTCAACAGTAAGTATAATGCAAATGTTTCAAAATCTTTTTAAAAATCTAAAATCTGAAACACTTCAGGTCTCAAACATTTGAGATAAAATATATTCAATCTGTACTATATTTTGGCTACTAGAAGAAGTTTTAAAAAGTCCTGTGTCCTTGGTTCCATCTCCAAATGTTCATTGAGCACTTGCTACATAGCAGCTATTCTGCTATTTACTAGCGATTCCAATTTGTTTGTACAGAATAGTGATTAAAAGCATATACTTTGGAATAATACTGCCTGGGTTCACATCACATCTCCAACCCTTTTTAGCTGTGTAGTCTTGAATTTGACACTCCATCTCAGTGTTTCTACTTGCAAATTCATAGAGTTGTTGTAAGGATCAAATGACGTGATACGTGCAGAGGTGTGAGAACAGTTGCTGCTGCATAGAAGTGAATAGGCATAAAAGAAGCTATTAATCAATTGAGGGAAACTAATAAATTAGTCAAGATATGTAAAAAGTGTTATAGGGACATAAAATTAAAAGACTAACATATCCGGGGTTGCAAGACTTGCAAAGAGTTAACAGAAGTGACAAGTTACACTTGAAGGATGAGTAGTTTTCCATATGTCAAACGAAAGAAGGCAGAAAGATCATCATGTGACAGAACACAGAGTAATAATGAGAGGCGAAGCCAGCTGGACTTCCTGGGTAAAGTGGGGACTTGGAGAACTTTTGTCTGACGAGAGGATTATAAAATGCACCAATCAGCACTCTGTAGCTAGCAAGGGGATTGTAAAATGCTTCAATCAGCACTCTGTAAAAACGCACCAATCAGTGCTCTGTAAAATGCACCAATCAGAAAGATCCTCAAAGTAGCCAATGGCAGGGAGGATTGAAAAAAAGGCACTCTGATAAGACAAAAACAGAACATGGGCAGGGACAAATAAGGGAATAAAAGCTGGACAACCCAGCCAACAGTGGCAATCCGCTCGGGTCCCCTTCGACACTGTGGAAGCTTTGTTGTTTCACTCTTCACAATAAATCTTGCTGCTGCTCACTCTTTGGGTCCGTGCCACCTTTAAAAGCTGTAACACTCACTGTGAAGGTCGAAGGCTTCATTCTTGAAGTCAGTGAGACCACAAACCCACCGGCAGGAACCAACTCCAGACACAATAAGACAGGATGGCCAGGCCAGGGAATTGCTAGTATGGCCAGAGTCCAATAATGCAAGGGATATTAGGACAAGTTGCTGGAGAGGTAGATCAGGGTAAGAAAATAAGGAGCCATTGGAGGCTTTTAAGTGAAAGAGTGACATTTTGAATTTTATTATTAAAAGGTTTCTCTAGTGGCAGTATAAATATAAAATGAGACTTGTAAAAAGCTTGAAATAGGAGCCAGTAATAATACTTAGCACTATATTGCAAAAGGCCAAGCAAGAATTGATGGAGACTCACATGAAGCAATGAAAGGAAGGAGTGGATTACAAAGATAGAATCTTCAGGTGTTTGTTAAGGGATAAACTCTTCTTACCACTTGATAATTTTATATAAATACTTAATTGGCTTTCATAGGAAAGAAGGGACAAACCAGTAATATTTATGAAAAACAGTAATACAGAAATTTCCCCTCATCAAAGAACAATGAGATTATCTGAGATATGAGTTAATGATCAATACAGAACTTGAAGAGAAAGTTGGACAATTATTTGGCAGGTTTGGATTAGATAAGCAAAGGTTACAACCAGAGGTGAATTTATTAAAAGAAGCAAATGAAATTTAAGCTTTAAGGTTCCTCAGTTACAAGGGCCCTTGTGAGGGTTGAGGACTGCCTAGAGCTATGAGCAGGAAGGGAAAGCAAGCCTGTACTTCTTCAAAGCACTTCTAGTAAATAGCCTAAAGAGACTTCAGCAGAAAGGAACTTGAATCCCCAAGGTGCCAGTAACGTATTGTGATCTCCTTTCTTTTTCTGAAGATATAATTTTATATTCATATTTTGTACAATTCTTCATATAGAGGACTCTCAGAAATTATATAAACTTCAGGCCACATAAAACCTGGAACTGCCCTTGCTTCCAGCCTTCAGGCTTCTTTAGCATTAACAAATGGAGAGAACTTAGTCTAACTCCTGGAGTTGAATATTTTTATCTTGATGTACAGGAATTAATTCTCCAAGTAAACAAATAAGGTGATTTCTTTAAAACATATTAAGAGCTATTAACCAGCAATTAAACATTAAATGCATGATGAATAATTAATGTTTTATATGTCATCATACAATGATGAATAACAATAGGGATTTGAAGGTTGAGGGACATTTTCAAAATCATTCTTCTTCAAAGATTAAAAATGCTTTCTGATACATGTTTTTAAGTGGATGTACTATTGATTTTACATTGATTGAATGGCAGTCAAAAGATCTGATTTAGCTCTATGTTTATCATTGATTACCTTTGTGACCTTGGGCCTATGACAGGTAACTTTTCTATTCTAACTCTGAAAAGATTTTTACATTAACTTCTCTCCGTTTCCAATGAATCTTCTCTCACTCAGTCTGTAGTAACTGAGAAAGAAAAAATTTTTTATTTGAGGAATGTGAGCCCCTTTTAAATTATCAGGCCCAGAGAGGTACTGAAATGTGGCAGTAGTCACATCTCACTCCTCAACTTGAGCTAAGTAATCATTTTGAAGCTGCCTACTATATGAACTCTACACTGAGTGTCGCCACCAACAGTTTATAAATTAACCTAATACCATATGCTGGGCACATAACTCTTATCCTTTTTTTCAACAACGTGCAGCCAATCACTAATCAATGTTATTTCCAGAAATCAATGACAATCCCTGAAAAACAACTTTTCTAATCACTCCCATTCCTAATTTGTCCTTTCTTTCTTTAAAATCTTGAGCCTCTCCTTTGTTTTCCCAGAGCACTCAACAGTGTTAGCCAGGCCGTAGTCCTTAACCTTGGCTCAAATAAGCTCTCTATATTAATTTTGCCTCAGTTTATTTATTTAGGTCAGAAAAACAAACTCCTGAAAGGTCTTCATGCCTCTTGCTTCTAACGCCAGCAAGCCTCCCATTCTCTTATCATCTAATTTCCATTGAGCCTATACTCCCTTTTCTGCCACCTAGAGAATAAAATGCAAAATCAGCCTGCCGCATAAAGCCTCTACAATTTGACCTCTAGATATCTGTACAACTTTATCTACCACTTGATCTCCTATTTCTTTATACAGTTTTATTTACTGTTTCCACAAAGATATACAATCTTGGCACATTTCCTCAAGCTATTCCACAGTTATGAGCCCTCTCACAAGCTATGTCTGGTCATCAAAGCCTTCAGGGCCTTACTCAAATTGCCAGTTTTTCCAAGATTATTTTCCAGAAGAATTAATCTTTCCCCATCATCTTTTCTTATCACTTTCTTTATTATTTATAATATCCATCACATGGCAAAGTGATTGAAAACACTAGCGATGAGTCAGAAAGTCATAGTTTTAAAGCTGTGCTCTAACACTCACCAACCCATGTAACTTTGGGCAAGTTACTTAACCTCCATGAAATTCAGCTTTCATTTACTGAATGAATTATGTGCATATGATATCTTCTATATGCATGGAAACCAGAAGAAATTCAGTGAAGAGGAAGCAGAATAAGCCATCAGGATTCCAGGCCTAAGCTTCTTATTCAATCATGCTTACCAGAGAAGTCCAATAGTTTATGTCAGTCAGTAGAGTAAGGGTAGAATAGGAATGATTAGGGATAAAAGATCTCTTATTTGCTTACCCAACCAGTAATAAGGCATTATTTAGTTTTCCACTTTTCTTTGAGATTTTGGAACTCTCAGCAAGTAGCCCAAGAAAAGGGGTATTGGATGATATACTTCAAGAACAAAATCCCACTCTGGACCCCAAACAGTGTAGGGCACTCTCATTTGTTCTTACATCTAATGGAAATGTTCAAGAAGCACTTTCTGAAAGTAGTAAAACTTATATATGAAACCTCTTAATGCTGTTGTTTGGAAAGTAAATTAATCAAACCCTATATTTTATAAAATACTTGCTCCACAAGTATTTATTGACTACAAACTGTAGGTCAACATATAATTATTGTTGTGGCTATAACAGCAAACATGACAGACATAGTCCCTTTCCTTAGGTTTTATGCTCTCATAGAGAAGACTGACATTAATTGAATCACTTCAAGTGTGATGAGTGTTATAAAGGAGATGTATGTCTCTATTATCATAGAAGCAAACAATAGAGAACTTAATCCGGTTTATGGATAAAAGTATTCCATTCTTATTAACTGCTGTCAAGGACTGTATGTTTGTATCCCCTCAAAATTCATATGTTGAAACTCTAACCCCCAATTTGTCTGTACTTGGAGATAGTACCTGTAAGGAGGTGATTAAAGTTAAATGAGGTTATAAGGGTGGGGCTCTGATCCAACAGGATTAGTGTTCTTATAAGAAGAGACACCAGAAAGATATATATATATATCTGTCCCCCAAGGAAAAATCATGCGAGGACGTGGCAAGAAGAAGGTCAGGAAGGTAGCTCTCACAAGAAACTGAGCACTGCCAGAATTTTGATCTTGGACTCTGCAGCCTCCAGAAATGTGAGAAAATAAATTTCTGTTGTATAAGCATGCAGTCCATGGTATTTTGTTATGACAGCCCAAGTGGATGGAAAGAAGAAATGAAGAAATGAGGAAAGGAGAAAAAAGAAGGGAAGAAAAGGGAAGGGATGGGGGAGGGGAGGGAAGAGCAGGAGGGAAGAAAAAGGGAATAAAAGCACTTGTTTTTATTATTTTCCTACTAAAATGACATTTTCCTCTCCTGTCAGAATATAATGGACTTCATCATGTGAAACTCCTGCATATGTGAGGCTCTAGGAAAATGTTTACCTTACAAGAAAGATGCATCTATGTTAATATATGTATCTCTCTGAATTACTCTTTCCTATTCCCATAACATTTGGTGGAGCACTGTAAGCTTAGCAAGTGCTATTAAGGGCTTGCTGAGTTCATGTCAAAACTTTTCTGGCTACAAATTGTTTCAAATCTATAAAATGAATATGTATCTGCAAGCTAACAGCGAAATAATGCTGTGTTTGAGCCTACCAGAAATCTCCGTGGCTTACAACAGTAAGTATTTATTCTCAAGCTCATAGGTTTGCAGGTTGTGGTTTCGCTGATCTATGCTGGGCTGTCCAGCTCTGCTTTAGGCTGTAGGTAGGCTGTGGTTGGCTCTAGGATGAGGCTGAAACAAGGTATATTCAACATGTCTCTCATATACCTGTTCTTATGGCAAATCACCAGCATGCTAAAGCCAAATTACTCAAAAAGCACATTTAAGGCCTCTGTTGAAGTCATATCCATTAATGTTCTTTTCCTTTGTGGGTTTTTTTTTTTTTTTTTTTTTGAGATGGGTCTTGCTCTGTCTCCGAGGCTGGAGTGCAGAGGCGCGATCTTGGCTCACTGCAACCTCCATCTCCTGGGCTCAAGCAGGCATTCAACTGACCAAAGAAAATCATGTGACAAAGCCCAAAATCAAAGGAGTAAGAATATATATCCTTACTACAGTGAGAAACTGAAAAGAATAAATATTTGCTGAATAATAAGCCACATATTTTATACAGGTTCAGAAAAGATGATCTCTAAGTGAAAAAGGAAACTAAATAAATACTGGATGCTGGAAACAAAAAGGTGATTTAGAGTTTCAGATCTTAAGTGGCTTATAGTCTGAGGGCTGGTGGGGGTTGAGGGAGAGACAAATAAGAGAAACACTATAAATATAGTGAAGCAAGTATAATGACAATGACGGTAGAATTATTCTGTGTGGAGGACATTTGAGTTTTAAAGGGTAGTAGAAGTTTATCAGATCAAGGTGGTTGGGATTCAGAGAAGATAGAATTCTAGGCAAAGGGAAAAAATGTGTGCAAAATCACAGATATGTTAACTAGAATGGCATAATTTAAAAGTGGCATTTTTAAGGTGTGGCTTAAGCATAAAATATATAGAAAAATGGTGAGAAATGATAAAGGAGATGCAAGAGTCAAATCTTAACACAAGTCAGGTCTAAAAATTTGGTCTGCAGTGCCATTAAAGAATATTAAATAGGAAAATAATGTGCTAAAATGTTTAGAATTATGGCTCAATAGAGTGGAAGAATGACTGGCAGGATGAGTTTAAGGAATGGCAGAGAGTATGAGACAATAGAAACCCTAACCAAAGCAGTGGCAGTGTGAATGATGAGAAGGAAATATTAACAAATTTATGAAATATTATTGCATATCTTTTTAATGACTGCAAAGGTCAGGACTTTCTGAGTTGTAAGTGACTTAAACTCAACTCACATAAGCTTAAGCAAAAACTGGCAGCTCTCAGAAATAAAAAATAAATAAATAAAAATAAAACAAACTACAGGAACCAGCACAACTCTAAGGACCTTGGGGATGGCACAGATAATTTAAATGTTGCTTATATTTTCTCCCCATCCTTCATCAATGTTTATTCACTTAATTCTCTCCCACTGTAGAAAAGCTTACTACACATGGAGGAGGAATATGGCCACAGAAAGCTCCAAATCACATTATTCTAACTAAAGGCAAGAAAAGACCTCTCTATTTGCAATTTTTTTTAAACAAAAACTCTTGAGTAAGCCTCTTTTGACCCAACTCAGGTCATATGCCCACCCTACAATACAGTGGCCAAAATACCATGAGTTACCCAAGTTATCTCTTGATCCTCTTAGAGAAAAGTAATCTGTTATCAGTAGAGGAAGTGGATAAATTATTATCCAGCCAACCACATCAATCTGTATCAACCACTGTGAGAGTAAAAGACTAGTTGAGGGTGACAAGTTGAGACTTCTAGCTTAGCAACTAGAATATTAATGACATATTAATGATAATACGTGCTACAGGAAGAAAACAATGTATGAAGTAAAATTTTTAGAAATGTCAAGTTTGACCTTAAACTTAGATTATTCAAGCCATGAATTATTCAAATGGCAATATTCAATAACCACTAAATTTTTCTTTCCACAAGACTGGGATATATATATAGAGAGAAAAAGTGCATAACAATAGCAATTAATGATTTAGAAGAATAAAGACAGAAATTTCATTTCTGTATTTGACATAAAAGCATTACATCCAGGGAATATCTCTTTCCATATGAGAAAGAACACTCGAAAATAATGTATTAAGAGTCTCTGAGGCTATTTTAACAGAAATTTGAACCAATTAAAACGTTTGAAAATATCTATTGAAATGCATATGATTGACATTATTTTTATGAAAGGGAAAAATAATGCAGCTTAGGTGGAAACAATATAACGTATCTACCAAATACAAGAACTGCTGCCTTCATTGACATTGCTGATTCAGTCAGAGACTAATAAGCCTGTGAAGCTTTCTGCTTTCTCAGAAAGTAGAGGGCTGCTCATTAACAGAAAATTTGGTTGAGTCCATCTTAGAAGCCAATAGTCCCTATCTTCTGGAAAAATTTGCAGGTATCCCATAAAAACTCCAAGTATTTGACACTATAGAGGTTTACTAAGTGGATTAAAACATTATGACTTATTATTATTATTATACCCATATTCCCCAAGGTGAAATAATGTTTTCTGAAAACTCTCCATTTTGAGGTTCAATGAGATATTCCCAGCAACACACATGAAAAAAGAGTATTGAAAAGGGGTTTTGCATAGCCACTCAAATCAAAGCTGACAATTACCTTGATGGAAGAATAAATGATAAAACTTAAGGGTTTTATTAGCCCCAAAGTAGTTTTCAAGTTGCACAAAATGTTCCTTTTCTTCCTATATATTAAAGTACTCCTGCCCTATATATTTAGCTTTCATAAAATATTCAAAATATTGCTTCCCACGTTGTTAAAAAAGTATCTGTTACCGGAAGAAGGAAAATCCATTTTGCAAAATAACAGGGAGATTACCCAGCATAACTACAATTACATTTTTAAAGGTACAGAAAGATAATAGAGAGCTGTCATACAATTTAAAGATCTTCTTAAACTACACACTGTGTTTCTCTACAGAGGATTTTTAAGATGAGAAATAGACCTTGAGGGTCTTAGATAGGCCTGAGGCAATATTAAAAAGGTCAAACATTCTTCTAAAAAGCACCTCTGTCTTCAGAACAACTTAGCAGCCAGCTTGCAGTGCCTTCTTATTTACAGCTATTGTTCCCAGAGGAAGTGCACTTGAGTGTGGGCCACTATTAGTTTGTAATGAGCTTGCCAGAAATGATACAGGAAACAAGTTTGTAATGATGTGCCATACCCAGCTCAGAAATGCGATGACACACTCTTTTGGTGAGGTAAACAGGAATATGGGGCTGAGAAGGCATGTGGGGAGAGAAGAGGGAAGAAAAACAGGAAGAGAAAAGGAGCCTAGCAATAGAGAGCCATCTTCCTGTTCTGCTCCTAGTAAGAAGCCAACTAGAATGGAACTGAGGAATAACTGAGTTGCCAGCATAGTTTGGAAGACTCAGGAATTATTCAGCTCAACTGTCCATTCCCAGTTCAGGAGTCTTCAAAGGGCAGGCTTGTACTCTCAAATGAAACCGTTCTAAAACAAAACAAAACAAAAAAAGAAAAGAAACAGCCCTGAACCTGTCAAAGATTAGTAACAAAATGTCAAATGCTTCGCCTATACACCTAGGGTGCCTCCATATTGTATGTTCACTTATGTTTTCCTAATGTACCTCTCTCCATACAGAAAAGTGCACACAATCATGAACCGGGGAGGGCAGAGAATTAAACCTTATCTAAGAGCTGTCAATAAATCTATTGTTAGAGATACATGTGAATAAAAGTAACAGAGGCAATCTTTGTCTTTTAAAGAGGTAGTTTTTCAAAAAGAGAATTACACAAAGTGCTCCTCTGTTTTTGTCAATATGCTGCCAGGTTTTGAAATGCTATTTTTCATCCAAACAATAAAAATCTTGACAAGTAAGCAGCAGAAAATCACTAAATACACTCGCAGCTGCATTTCAATCTATACAAATTCTTTAAACAAAAACAAGCAAAGAACAGCCTGGCCTAGCAAAATTATTTCACCATTTGAGCCTCAAGTCCAAGATAATTAAG
Organism: Homo sapiens; assembly: GCF_000001405.40. Lineage (NCBI taxonomy): Eukaryota > Metazoa > Chordata > Mammalia > Primates > Hominidae > Homo > Homo sapiens. The sequence goes on from NC_000001.11 coordinate 49,729,396, forward strand.
AAACCGAATTTTATATTTCCACTGAAATATTCCAAAAAAAGTTCAAATAAAAAATGAAAATACAGATGAGAAGATGTAGTAAAGCTCTACATGTGAATTTCAAGAGCATAAAATCAAGGAGGCAATTTTTTCAACTTTACAATTGAGATTAACCCCCCCAAAATCCTCAATTATTTTCTTTCTTAAAAATGTAAGTGAACTCAAAACAATAGGGTTAGTGGGAGGGAAGGTGGACATACGGAAGAAACTGATGTCGGAAGACCCAGGTTAAACATCTAGCATAACTAGCAGCAATATATATTTGAGGGAAGTCTGAAAAAAGAAACAGACTGTTTCCATCATATAATCAAGAGATTATAAAGATCCGAATTAATAAGTCTGTGGTAGTAGGAATTTTAAAAAATGAGATATATTGATAGCAGCAAGAGACAGACAGCAGCGACCCATCCCTGTCCTAGGCAGACAGGGGAGGGTCCCTGGTGAAACCCAACCTTCAAACAAAAGACAATTTAAAGCCTGAAAATGAGCTGAGCTGCCAGTCCCAGATAGAGTCCATGACCCGAGTGAGAACTTCTATTTCTGTTTCCCACTCTTTCCTCATTGGTTCTTTCTGGATAATGGTTTTTAACCAATCAAACGCTGCCTCTTTCAAGGTTACCTACAGCTGGGGCCTCCTGATTCCAAACCTGTAAAAACCCTGGACTCAGCCACACAGATGGCTTCTCACTTCTGGGCCTCCTCTCACACAGTGGGCTACCCACTTCAGGTCCCCTCTTGTTGTCGAGAGCTTTCCTGTCACTCAATAAAATTATTTTCTGCCTTGCTCATTCTCCAGTGTCTGCATGCCCTATTCTTCTTGGTCACGGGACAAGAACCCAGAACCCACCAAAGAGCAGGAGCTAAAAAGGGCAGTAACACACTCCAGGCCAGCTCACCGAGCTGCGGATGGTGTGAATAAAAAGAGCTGTTACATGCTCCCATTCACCAGACTATGGGAGTGAAGAGCTGCAACCCTTCTGGGGGCCCAGACCTCGGGACTCCCCAAGCCAGAACTATGACATGCCCCCATTCACCCAGCTGCCAGTCGGGAATGAGAGACAGAACTATGGCATTCCCTGGGGGCTCAGACCTTGGGACTCCCCAAGGAGTGACAGAAGCTGTGACAACCCCTTGGGGCTCTGCAGTTGCTGGTATCTCTGAGTTTTCAGGTGCTGCCATGTCCACCTCATCTAGATGCTGGCACCCAAGATGGAAGCCAGTTGCAGCATGCTTGATCCAGCCCTGGGCGAAGCACAGAGCCACAGCAGGCTCAAGATTTGGGCTGGTAGCATAAGCCAACTACAGCCTGCCAGATCAAGTGAGGAGAGCAAACCCGGTAGGCTCCAGCAAAGCCCAGGCAGAGGCATCATCCACCCCGTGGAGATTTCTGGCTGGCGAAGTGGCACAGAACAAATCCTGTGTCAATACGTGATAGCCAATTTTGTGGACAGAATTAATAATATTTATTAATGAATGAAGGTAAGTATACTGAATATCTTCCATTTGTCCCTCCAGAGCCATTCTCTGCATTCTACTCCCTGCTTTGTGTTGCAGGAGGCTGACTTCTATGGACTACATCAATGGGCTCCCTTATTCTCCAGCTTCTGGTTGGGTTTGGTTAATGGAAAGCATCAGACACAGATGAAAGACAGAAAGTGTGAGGACAAAGTACTTATTCCCTTGGCTCCCTCTCTGCCTAGTTACAAGTTGTTGGCTCTTCTACTGAAGACCAAAGCTCCTATCAGGTGTCCTTCTTTACATTTAGTCTTCCCCATGACTCCTATAATCACTTCCTCTCATTTCTCCATCAACCCCAGTATGGCAAATAGTTCTGTATTATTAGCAGCCTAAGAATTACTAAAACATGCCATCTTAATTGCCCTAAACCCCCTCATGCCCTTGTGAACAGTCCCAGAATCCTGACTGATATAGTGAGATTGTTTTGTAAAACATAAAGCACTGTACAAAGGCTTATTTATTTATGTTGTTAGTTTAAAAAATTATGCCAGATATACACAGCAGACGAATAATAAATACGTGCTGAATCAAATAATACAGATTACATACAGTTAAGATTTTGGGTCAGCTTCTGTTTTAAATACGTTAAATCTCAAGGAAAAAATAAAGAGTCATGAAACATATCAATTAGGCATCAAGGGCTTATAAAAGTATAAGCAACAAAAGAAAGCAATCATTTCTAGAAACTCTTTGGTAATTATTTAAAATATCTATTATTCCAGGAAGTACTCTAAATATATGTACCTTTTCATAAAGGTGAAGGGAAAAAAAATAGCAACCTTCAAAATTAATACCTTGAAAAGTATAAATATGAAACTGGAAGTAATACCTACGGCCAATTGAAGAGATAGGCAAATTCTCCCCCAAAAAGCAATTGTAAACGTGAATATACATGATAAAAAGAATAGTTTCTTAAAGGTATACAAAAATCAGAGAAGGATTTGAATTTGAAAACTACTTAACTAACAGTAAGAATAGAGGGAAACTGACATTCTAGACTGGAGCTGCTCCCATACTTGCCCCCAGGAATATTTGGCCTGAAAAATCTGCTATGTAAGGCAGGCCATAAGGACCTACAGTAATTTTTCTGCCATGGTTGAAGAGGTCTTACTCAATTTGGAAAAGTGATGACCACTTCCAGGGGTATTGTCAGCAGAAATTACTTACCAAAAACTGGCTAGCAAGAAAGGGTAAAGGGTGCAACTCTACCAGCTTGAAGTACAGCCCTGACTGGGACAAGCATAGTCTTGGCTAAGACTGTGTACATCCACAGTGGAGGCAGAGAGACCCAAGTTATTTCAAGACTCTTGGTTTATCCTAAGGCTGCCCACATGAACATAGGAAAATAAAAAAGGTCTAGCAGAAACTGAAACCCAGAGAATAATTGAAAAGAACCTAAACTACAAAAATTATACAAAACTTTTAATTCTCAACAAAAATTTAAAAGACAAGCAAAGAAACAAAAATGTAACTAAATCAGATAAAACTTAGGCAATAAAATCTATGAGTGTCTCAGACCTGTATTTAACAGGCAAAGACTTCAAAGCATCTGTAAGAAAACTATGTTTATGAAATAAATTATGATAAATACTAATGAACAATTAGAGAGTCCCAAAAAGGATACAGAAATTATAAAATAACCAAATGGAAATTCTAGTGTGGAAGAATACAATAACTAGAATAAAAATTCAGTAGAAAGGATAAACAGTAGATTTGAGGTGACAGAAGAAAAATCAGTATACATGAAAGACAGAAAATATCAAATCTAAAGAATGAAAAACACTTTTGAAGAAAAATGAACTAAGCCTCAAAGATCTCCAGTGCAGCAAGTTTACCAACATGTGTGTAATAGTATTTACCCCAAAGAGAGGAGAGAGAATGAAATGGGAAGAAAGGATTTAACAGCTCAAAGCTTCTAAAATCTAGTAAAAAACATGAATCTACAGATCCAGGATTCTTAATAAACTTCATATAACACAAAAATAAAGAGACATAAACCTAGACACATCATGAGCCCAACTGCTGACACCAAACATAAAGGAAAATATTAAAAACAGGGAAATATTAAAAAGGAAAAAAATTAAAAAGGGGAAATAACTTATCACATACAAAGAACCCCAATAAGATTAACAACTGACTTTCATCAGAGCCAAAGGAGGCCAGAAGGCAGTAGGATGACATAGTCAGAATGCTGAAGGAAAACTACTTTCAACAAAAAATTCTATAACCACCCAACTATCCTTTTAAAAAAGAAGGAAAAGTAGAGACTTTCCAAGATTAAGACTGAGACAAGTCGTTGTTAGCAGGCATGACATGCAAGAAATAATAAGAAAGTCTTTCAAGTGAAAGAACATGGTACCAAGAGGTAAATTCAATTTACAGTAAGAAACGAAGAACAACAGAAATGGTAAACATGTGGGTAAAGATGTTTTTCTCATTTCTACTTTTCTCTAAAAGGCACAATATCGTATAAGAAATTTGACATCTTAGCTGACATTGCTGACTGGGCTGTTTATAACAAATTATCACAGGCTGGGTGGCTTGAACAACGAACATTATTTCTGTACTTCTGGAGGCTAGGAAGTCCAAGATGAAGGAGCCAGTGAATCCAGTGTATGGTGAGAGCCTGAGTTGTAGTCTTGTTGTATCCCCCCAAATTCACATGTTGGAAACTGAATCCCCATTGCAACAGTGATGGGAGGTGGGGCCTTCAGAGAGGTGTTTAGGTCATGAGGACTCTGCCTTCATTAATAGATTAATGCCACTATTTTTAAAAAGCCTGTAGAAGTATAGTCTCACTGTTCTGCTTTTCTGCCATGTGGGGACAAAGATTTCACCTTTTTACTCTACAACCAAAGCCAGGCAATGGCCCCACAAGAAAACTAATAACTAATATGCCTCATAATAATAGACTGCAAAATTTTTATCCAAAAAATTAGCAAATAGACTAAATCCTTTAAAATATTGAAAGGATTATACACTATGACTAAGTAGAATTCATCCCAAGGATGCAACATTGGTTTCATATCCAAAAATCAACTAATATAACACACCATACTACTATAGAAGAGTATTAAAATAATAAGACCATTTCAACAAATGGAGAAAAAGCACAGCACTACACAAATTCAACACTCATTCATAATATAGTTCTTGATATACTATGAGTAGAAGGCAATTTCCTCAAACTGTATATGTGGGCTACAGCTAACATCATACATTAAGGGGAAAAAAATAATCTGCCCCCAAAGATCAGGAACAAAACAAGAATGTTGACTCTTGCTATTAATATTAGAATGGAGGTTATAACTAGTGCCATGGAGAGGGGAGAGGGGAGAGAGAGAGAGACAGAGAGACAGAGAGAGAGAAAGGGGGAAATGTAAATTGGAAAGAAAAAAGTAAAAATGTTCCTATTCACAGATGATGTGATCCTATATTTGGAAGACCTCAGGAATCTACAGAAAAAGTACGGAGACTAATAAGCAAGTTTATAAAGGACATAGAATCTAAGAGCAATATATGAAATTCTATTGTAGTCCTGTATATTAGCAATAAAACATTGGGAATTAAAATGAAGAAAAATTCAATTCATAACAGTATCCAAAAAATTAAAAATAAAGTTAATTTAAAAAGTACAAGACTTGTACAATGCAAGCTATAAAAAAAATGGCTTTGGAGAAATTAAGATCCAAATAAACAGGACTGAAGAACCAGTATAGTCTCAATATCAATTTTCCCCTAAGTTCATGTGTAACTTTAATTCAATCCCTATCAAAATGCCAACAGGGTTTTTATAGGAATTGACAAGTTGATATTAAACTTTATATATATTAAAATAATCTATAATAGCAAATAGCAAAAAATTTTAAAAATAATAATAATCATGGGAAACTTATATTATTTTATTTCAAAACTTAGTATAAAGCCACAGTAACCAAATATTTCAGTGATGATACAAGGATAGGCATATAGATCAATAGAACATATCTGAGAGTTGAAAAATAAATTCTCATCTATATAATCAATTTGTCTTCCACAAAGATGTGAAATCAGTTAAAAGAGGAAAGAATAGTCTTTCCAAGAAATGGTGCCAGACAACTGTGCATCAAGATGCAAGACAATAACAATTATTATTATACCCATATTGTAGTAGGTAGAATAATCAGCCCCACAAAAGTCCACGTTCTAATCCCTGAAACTGGTGAATATATCTTACACAATACCAAACGTTTTTTGCAGGTGTGATTACAGTAAGACCATAACATCAAAAGATTATCCTGGATTATCCAGGTAAGCTCATTGCAATCACAAATGTCCTTAAAACAAAGAGGTAGAGGTGTGTGGGTGTGTGTGTGTGTGTGTGTGTGTGTGTGTGTGTGTGTAGAGAGAGAGAGACAGATTTTAAGATGCTATTCTTGTGCCTTTGAAGAGAAAAGACCCATGAGTCAAAGAATGCAGTCGGCCTCTAGATGATGGAAAAAGGCAAGAAAATGTATTCTCCCATTGATCCTCCAGAAGAAATGTGATCCTATAATTTTATATTATCATTGTAATACCCATTTCAAACTCTTATATCAAAAAATATAAGATAAAAAAATGCATGTTGTTTTAAAGCACTATGTGATATGTAATATACCAGCAACAGGAAATGAATACATTTACAAGATACAGAAAAATTAACTAAAATGGACTACACACCTAACATAAGAGCTACACAATATTAAAAAGGAAATACACAGGAGACTATCATTGTGATACTACCTTGGGCAAAGTGTTTTAGCTGTGGCACCAAAAAGAATCCGTAAAAAAAGTAATAACTGGATTTCACCAAAGCTTAAGACATCTCTTCAAAAGACAGTACTATGAGGAGATAGAAGTATAAAGACAGAGTATTTTTTAAATAACCTAATAAAAATAATGGAATTAAAAAGAACAACTTAATTGAAAAACAAAAATCACTGGAAAGTATCAACAGCAAGCCAGGCAAAAGAAAGCCACAGCAAATTTAAAGATGGGTCAACTGAAATCTCCAATCTAGCAACAGAGAAAAAAAATGAAAAAAATTTAATAGAGCCACAGAAATCTTTGGGAAACCATCAAGCACATCAACATGCACATACTGGCAATCTCAGAAGGAGAGGAAATAAAGAAAAAAGGGAAAAGAATATTTAACGAAATACTGCCTGAAAACTTCCCAAATTTGATGAAAACATTAGTATACACATCAAAGAAATTCAAAGCCCAGTAGAATAAACTTAGAGATCCTTAGACACATTATAATCAAACACTTGAAAGACAAAGACAAAGAAAGGCTCTTGAAAAAAAGCAAGAGAAGAGTGACTCGTCATTAACAAGAAATCCTCAGCAAGAGTAACCTCTAATTTCTTTTCTTTTTTGTCTTAAAAAATTTAAGAAGATTGGAATTACATCAAGTATTTTTTACAACCACAATGATACAAAATTATAAATCAATAACAAAAGAAATTTCAGAAAATTCAAAAATCCATGGAAATTAAAAAACCTGCCCTATATAACAAATGGATCAATTGAAAAACTAAAAGGGAAATTTCAAAACATGTTTAGACAAACAAAAATTAAAACACAGCATACTAAACCTTTGGGATGCAGCAAAAGTAGTGTCGACATCAACCTTGACAATGAATTTTTGGCTAAGTCCCCAAAAGGAACTGCAACTAAAACTAAAAGAGACAAGTGGGACCTAATTAAACTAAAGAGTTTCTGCACAGCAAAATAAACTATCAACAGAGCAAACAGACAACCTATAGAATGGGAGAAGATACTTGCAAACTATGCATCTGACAATGGTGTAACTTCCCAAATCTATAGGAATCTTACATCAACAAGGGAAAAAAAAAAACTTCATTAAGAAATGGGCAAAGGACATGAACAGACAGTTCTCAAGAGAACACATAAAAATGGCCAACCAACATAGGTAAAAATTAACAACATAACTACTCATCAAAGAAATGCAAATCAAAACCACTATGAGATACCATCTGACACCAGTCAGACAATTTGACATTTTAACAATGGCTATTAAAAAGTTTAAAAAAAAAACATGATGGCAAAGCAAAGCTGCAGAGAAAAGGGATAGCTTATATGCTGTTGGTGAAAATGTAAATTAGTCCAGCCACTATGGAAACCAGTCTGGAGATTTCTCAAAGAATTTAAAAAAGAGCTACCATTCAATATATCAATTTCATTCCTGGGTATATACTCAAAACGAAATAAATCATTCTACCAAAAAGAAACATGCACTTATATGCTTGTTGCTGCACTATTCAAATAGCAAAGATATGGAATCCACCCAGATGCCCATCAATGCTAGATTGGATAAAGAAAATGCGGTACATATATACCATGAAACACTACTCAGAAATAAAAAAAATAAAATCATGTCCTTTGCAGCAACATGGATGCAGCTGGAGGCCATTATCCTAAGTGAACTAACACAGAAACAGAAACCAAAAACAGTATTTTTCACTTATAAGTGGTAGCTAAACATTGGGTACGCATGGACATAAAGATGGGAAAATAGATACTGGAGACTACTAGAGGTGGGAGAGAGAGACAGGGGCAAGAGCTGAAAAACTAAGAACCAGGTTCTGTGGTCATTGGTGATGGGTGATGGGATCCAAACTTCAAACTTCAGCACCATACAATATTCCCAGATAACAAATCTGTATGTGTACTCCTGCATATAAAATAAAAGTTGATATTTGTAACAAAATCCTAGTAATTCCTTATCGGAAATCATGAAAACCAGAAGGCAGTAGGATGACATATTCAGAGTGCTGAAAGAAAAGACTTTCAACTCAGAATTCCATTAGCAAAACTTACCATCAAAACTTTTTTATAAAAAAAGATAGTCTTAGATGGCCGAATAGGAATAGCTCCACTCTATAGCTCCCAGCATGAGCAACACAGAAGACGAATGATTTCTGCATTTCCAACTGAGGTACCGGGTTCATCTCACTAGGGACTGTTGGTCAGTGGGTGCAGGACAGTGGGTGCAGTGCACCGAGCGTGAGCATTTCCAACTGAGGTACCAGGTTCATTTCACTAGGGACTGTTGGTCAGTGTGTGCAGGACAGTGGGTGCAGCGCACCAAGTATGAGCCGAAGCAGGGCGAGGAATCCCCTCACCCGGGAAGAGAAAGGGATTAGGGAATTCCCTTTCCTAGCCAAGGACAGCGGTGACTGAAGGCACCTGGAAAATTGGGTCACTCCCACCCTAACACTGAGCTTTTCCAACAGTCTTACTAAATGGCACACAAGGAGATTGTATCCCGTGCCTGGATCGGGGGTCCTACGCCCACGGAGCCCCGCTCATTGCTAGCACAGCAGTCTGAGATCAAACTGCAAGTCAGCAGCAAGGCTGGGGGAGGGGCGCTCACCATTGCCCAGGCTTGAGCAGGTAAACAAAATGGCCAGGAAGCTCAAACTGGGTGGAGCCCACCGCAGCTCAAGGAGGCCTCCCTGCCTCTGTAGACTACACCTCTGGGGGCAGGGCATAGCCAAACAAAAGGCAGCAGAAACCTCTGCAGACTTAAATGTCCCTGTCTGACAGCTTTGAAGAGCGTAGCTATTCTCCCAGCATGCAGCTAGAGATGTGAGAAAGGACAGACTGCCTCCTCAAGTGGGTCCTTGACCCCCAAGTAGCCTAACTGGGAGGCACCCCCCAGTAGGGGCAGACTGACACCTCACACGGCCGGGTACTCCTCTGAGACAAAACTTCCAGAGGAACGATCAGGCAGCAACATTTGCTGTTCACCAATATCTGCTGTTCTGCAGCCTCTGCTGCTCATACCCAGGCAAACAGGGTCTGGAGTGGACCTCTGGCAAATTCCAACAGACTTGCAGCTGAGGGTCCTGACTGTTAGAAGGAAAACTAACAAACAGAAAGGACATCGATACCAAAACCTCATCTGTACGTCACCATCATCAAAGACCAAAGGTAGATAAAACCACAAAGATGGGGAAAAAACAGAGCAGAAAAACTAAAAAGTCTGAAAATCAGAGCGCCTCTCCTCCTCCAAAGGAACGCAGTTCCTCACCAACAATGGAACAAAGCTGGATGGAGAATGACTTTGACGAGTTGAGAGAAGAAGGCTTCAGACGATCAAACTACTCTGAGCTAAAGGAGGAAGTTCAAACCCATGGCAAAGAAGTTAAAAACCTTGAAAAACGATGAGAAGAATGGCTAACTAGAATAAGCAATACAGAGAAGTCCTTAAAGGACCTGATGGAGCTGAAAACCATGGCACGAGAACTACATGAGGAATGCACAAGCCTCAGTAGCTGATTCGATCAACTGGAAGAAATGGTATCAGTGATGGAAGATCAAATGAATGAAATGAAGAGAGAAGAGAAGTTTAGAGAAAAAAGAATAAAAAGAAATGAACAAAGCCTCCAAGAAATATGGCACTATGTGAAAAGACCAAATCTACGTCTGATTGGTGTACCTGAAAGTGACGGGGAGAATGGAAACAAGTTGGAAAACACTCTGCAGGATATTATCCAGGAGAACTTCCCCAATCTAGCAAGGCAGGCCAACATTCAGATTCAGGAAATACTGAGAACGCCACAAAGATACTCCTCAAGAAGAGCAACTCCAAGACACATACTTGTCAGATTCACCAAAGTTGAAATGGAAAAAATGTTAAGGGCAGCCAGAGAGAAAGGTTGGGTTACCCACATAGGGAAGCCCATCAGACTAACAGCGGATCTCTCGGCAGAAACTCTACAAGCCAGAAGAGAGTGGGGGCCAATATTCAACATTCTTAAAGAAAAGAATTTTCAACCCAGAATTTCATAACCAGCCAAACTAAGCTTCATAAGTGAAGTAAAAATAAAATCCTTCACAGACAAGCAAATGCTGAGAGATTTTGTCACCACCAGGCCTGCCCTACAAGAGCTCCTGAAGGAAGCACTAAACATGGAAAGGAACAACCAGTACCGGCCACCGCAAAAACATGTCGAATTCTAAAGACCATTGAGGCTAGGAAGAAACTGCATCAACTAACAAGCAAAATAACCAGCTAACATCATCATGACAGGATCAAATTACATAACAATATTAACCTTAAATATAAATGGGCTAAATGCTCCAATTAAAAGACACAGACTGGCAAATTGGATAAAGAGGCAAGATCCATCAGTGTGCTGTATTCAGGAAACCCATCTCACGTGCAGAGACACACATAGGCTTAAAATAAAGGGATGGAGGAAGATCTACCAAGCAAATGGAAAACAAAAAAAGGCAGGGGTTGCAATCCTAGTCTCTGATAAAACAGACTTTAAACCAACAAAGATCAAAAGAGACAAAGAAGGCCAGTACATAATGGAAAAGGGAACAATTCAACAGGAAGAGCTAACTATCCTAAATATATAGGCGCCCAATATAGGAGCACCCAGATTCATAAAGCAAGTCCTTAGAGACCTACAAAGAGACGTAGACTCCCACACAATAATAATGGGAGACTTTAACACCCCACTGTCAATATTAGACAGATCAACGAGACAAAAAGTTAACAAGGATATCCAGGAATTGAATTCAGCTCTGCACCAAGCAGACCTAATAGACACCTACAGAACTCTCCACCCCAAATCAACAGAATATACATTCTTTTCAGCACCACACCACACCTATTCCAAAATTGACCATATAGTAGGAAATAAAGCACTCCTCAGCAAATGTAAAATAACAGAAATTATAACAAACTGTCTCTCAGACCACAGTGCAATCAAACTAGAACTCAGGATTAAGAAACTCACTCAGAACCACTCAACTACATGGAAACTGAACAAACTGCTCCTGAACGACTACTGGGTACATAACGAAATGAAGGCAGAAATAAAGATGTTCTTTGAAACCAATGAGAACAAACACACAACATACCAGAATCTCTGGGACACATTCAAAGCAGTGGGTAGAGAGAAATTTATAGCACTAAATGCCCAGGAGAGAAGCAAGACTGATCTAAAATTGACACCCTAACATCACAATTAAAATAACTAGAGAAGCAAGAGAAAACACATTCAAAAGCTAGCAGAAGGCAAGAAATAACTACGATCAGAGCAGAACTGAAGTAGATAGAGACATAAAAAAACCCTTCAAAAAATCAATGAACCCAGGAGATGGTTTTTCGAAAGGATCAACAAAATTGATAGACCGCTAGCAAGACTAATAAAGAAGAAAAGAGAGAAGAATCAAATAGATGCAATAAAAAATGATAAAGGGGCTATCATCACCAATCCCACAGAAATACAAACTACCATCAGAGAATACTATAAACACCTCTACGAAAATGAACTAGAAAATCTAGAAGAAATGGATAAATTCCTCAACACATACACCCTCCCAAGACTAAACCATGAAGAAGTTGAATCTCTGAATAGACCAATAACAGGCTCTGAAATTGAGGCAATGATTAATAGCTTACCAACCAAAAAAAGGCCAACAGCAAATGGATTCACAGCTGAATTCTATCAGAGGTACAAGAGGAGATGGTACCATTCCTTCTGAAACTATTCCAATCAATAGAAAAGGAGGGAATCCTCCCTAACTCATATGATGAGGCCAGCATCATCCTGATACCAAAGCCTGGCTGAGACACAACAAAAAAAGAGAATCATAGACCAATATCCCTGATGAACATCGATGCAAAAATCCTCAATAAAATACTGGCAAACTGAATCCAGCAGCATATCAAAAATCTTATCCATCATGATCAAGGGGGCTTCATCCCTGGGATGCAAGGCTGATTCAACATACGAAAATCAATAAATGTAGTCCAGCATATAAACAGAACCAAAGACAAAAACCATATGATTATCTCAATAGATGCAGAAAAGGCCTTTGACAAAATTCAACAACACTTCATGCTAAAAACTCTCAATAAATTAGGTATTGATGGGACGTATCTCAAAATAATAAGAGCTATCTATGACAAACCCACAGCCAATATCATACTGAATGGGCAAAAACTGGAAGCATTCCCTTTGAAAACTGGCACAAGACAGGGATGCCCTCTCTCGCCACTCCTGTTCAACATAGTGTTGGAAGTTCTGGCCAGGGCAATTAGGCAGGAGAAGGAAATAAAAGGCATTCAATTAGGAAGAGAGGAAGTCAAATTATCCCTGTTTGCAGATGACATGATTGTATATCTAGAAAACCCCATTGTCTCAGCCCAAAATCTCCTTAAGCTGATAAGCAACTTCAGCAAAGTCTCAGGATACAAAATCAATGTACAAAAATCACAAGCATTCTTATACACCAATAACAGACAAACAGAGAGCCAAATCATGAGTGAACTCCCATTCACAATTGCTTCAAAGAGAATAAAATACCTAGGAATCCAACTTACAAGGGATGTGAAGGACCTCTTCAAGGAGAAATACAAACCACTGCTCAACGAAATAAAAGAGAATACAAACAAATGGAAGAACATTCCATGCTCATGGGTAGGAAGAATCAATATCATGAAAATGGCCATACTGCCCAAGGTAATTTACAGATTCAATGCCATCCCCATCAAGCTACCAATGACTTTCTTCACAGAATTGGAAAAAACTACTTTAAAGTTCATATGGAACCAAAAAAGAGCCCGCATCGCCAAGTCAATCCTAAGCCAAAAGAACAAAGCTGGAAGCATCACGCTACCTGACTTCAAACTATACTACAAGGCTACAGTAACCAAAACAGCATGGTACTGGTACCAAAACAGAGATACAGACCAATGGAACAGAACAGAGCCCTCGGAAATAATGCCACATATCTACAACAATCTGATCTTTGACAAACCTGACAAAAACAAGAAATGGGGAAAGGATTCCCTATTTAATAAATGGTGCTGGGAAAACTGGCTAGCCATATTTAGAAAGCTGAAACCGGATCCCTCTCTTACACTTTATACAAAAATTAATTCAAGATGATTAAAGACTTAAATGTTAGACCTAAAACCATAAAAACCCTAGAAAAAAACCTACGCAATACCATTCAGGACATAGGCATGGGCAAGGACTTCATGTCTAAAACACCAAAAGCAATGACAACAAAAGACAAAATTGACAAATGGGATCTAATTAAACTAAAGAGCTTCTGCACAGCAAAAGAAACTACCTTCAGACTGAACAGTCAAACCTACAGAATGGGAGAAGATTTTTGCAATCTACTCATCTGACAAAGGGCTAACATCCGGAATCTACAATTAACTCAAACACATTTACAAGAAAAAAACAAACAACCCCAACAAAAACTGGGCAAAGGATATGAACAGACACTTCTCAAAAGAAGACATTTATGCAGCCAACAGACACATGAAAAAATGCTCATCATCACTAGCCATCAGAGAAATGCAAATCAAAACCACAATGAGATACCATCTCACACCAGTTAGAATGGCCATCATTAAAAAGTCAGGAAACAACAGGTGCTGGAGAGGATGTGGAGAAATAGGAACACTTTTACACTGTTGGTGGGACTGTAAACTAGTTCAACCATTGTGGAAGTTAGTGTGGCGATTCCTCAGGGATCTAGAACTAGAAATACCATTTGACCCAGACATCCCATTACTGGGTATATACCCAAAGGATTATAAATCATGCCGCTATAAAGACACATGCGCACGTATGTTTATTGTGGCACTATTCACAATAGCAAAGACTTGGAACCAACCCAAATGTCCAACAATGATAGACTGGATTAAGAAAATGTGGCACATATACACCATGGAATACTATGAAGCCATAAAAAATTATGAGTTCACGTCCTTCGTAGGGCCATGGATGAAGCTGGAAACCATCATTCTCAGCGAACTATCGCAAGGACAAAAAAACCAAACACCGCATGTTCTCACTCATAGGTAGGAACTGAACAATGAGAACACATGGACACAGGAAGGGGAACATCACACACCAGGACCTATTGTGGGGTGGGGGGAGGGGGGAGGGATAGCATTAGGAGATATACCTAATGTTAAATGACGAGTTAGTGGGTGCAGCACACCAGCATGGCACATGTATACATATGTAACAAATCTGCACGTTGTGCACATGTACCCTAAAACTTAAAGTATAATAAAAAAAAAAGATAGTCTTAGATAAAAACACTAACATAATTTCTCACTAGCTGATAACATTTGGCTCTGTATCACCACCAAACTCCTAAATGTTAGAGGTGGCATGTGGATTGGAGGTGGTTGGATCATGAGAGCAGTTTCTCATAAATGGTTTAGCACCATCTCCTTGATGTTGTTCTCATGATAGTGAGTGAATTCCCATGAGATCTAGTTGTTGAAAATTGTATATCATCTCCACCCTCTCTCTCTCTCTCTTGCTCCTGCTCCCACCATGTGAGATGCCTTGCTCCCCATTTGCCTTTTGCCATGATTGGAAACTTTCTGATTCCTCTCCAGAAGGAGAAGCCGCTATGCTTCCTGTACTGCTTGCATAACTGTAAACCAATTAGACCTCTTTTCTTTGTAAATTAAACAGTCTCAAGTATTTCTTTATAGCAATGCAACAATAGACCAATACACTAGCAAATCAAACCTACAAAAAATACTAAAGGGATTCCTTCCTTCACAGTGAAATGAAAGGACCCTATATATTAATAGTAACTTGAATGCCGAAGAAGAAATACAGAGCATCAGCAAAAAGAATGATATAATATGAAAAAAGTATAAACCTATTTTTGTTTGTAACTTTTTTCTTCTGATTTAAAAGATAACTACAAAAAGCAGTAAGTATAAATTTACATTTATGAGCATACAATGCATTAAGATATAATTATATAACAATAAGAAGCCAAATAAGGCAGAGAAGAAAGCTATATAGAAACAAATTTTTGTATACTGTTAAAACTTAAGTTGCTATTAATTTGAACTGTATTTTATCTGTTAAGGTTAATCCTCAGAGCTAACAGAAGAAAATAACTCAAAAATAGTAAAATAAATTTTAAAAATAATTTAAATGGTACACTAGACTGTTTCTAATAGTATGATAGTAGTGAAGAAATAGAGAAACAAAAGACATAAGATATACAGAACACAAATAATAAAATGACGAGATATAAATTCTACTTCATCATTCATTAAATTAAATGTAAATGGATTAAGCACTCCAATTAAAAGGCATAAATGGAAAAATGGATTAAAAACATGACCCAACACTTCAGATTCAAAGACAGAAGCAGAGCTCAAGTAAAAAATGCAAAGAGAATATATCACACAAACACCCAAAAGAGACTATAATGGGTATACAGTAGTTCTCCTTTATCTGATTGTTTCACGTTCCATAGTTTACCTATGGTCAACCATGGTCCAAAAAAAGATGAGAACAGTACACTAAGCTATTTTGAGACAGAGAGAGATACCACAATCACACAACTTTTATTATATTATTACAATTATTCTATTTTATTATTAGTTATTGTTCTTAATCTCTTACTGTGACAAATGTAAGGGTTAAATTTTCTTGTAAGTCTATATGTATAAGAGAAAAACATAGTATATATAGTGTTCAGAATTATCCAAGGTTGGAGGCATCCACTGAAGGTCTTCAAACATATCCCCAACAGATAAGAGAAGACCACTCTATTAATATCAGACAAAACAGACTTTAAGACAAAATATATTACTAGAAAAAAAGGACATTTATGATGTCAATCCATCAGGAAAATACAATAAATATTATAAATGGTCAATCCATCAGGAAAATACAATAAATAAAAATATATGCCCATATCAAGAAAGTCCCAAAATATATCACACAAAAACTGTCAGAACTGAAAAGATAGAAAATTTAACAATAATTGAGACTTCAATATGTTGCCTATAATAATTGACAGAAGCAAAAAAAATCAAAAGAAAAATAGAAGACAGAAACAACAAAAAAACCCAACTAGACTTAACAGAAAACTACAGAACACTGTACCCCAAAACAGGAGAACACACAATCAGTTCAGATGAACACAAAACATTCTCCAGGACAGACCAGAAATTATGCATAATTAAATCTTAGTAAATTTCAAAGTTTTGAAATAATACACCTCAGACATAGTCATCCAGTATCACCCAAGAAGCTATTAATTTGTTCATTCAATTAATTATTTAATTTTATTAGACACACAGTTTATTCATCAGTATAGCCTCAGCGTCTCTGCTTGTATGCCATCAACACTTCCAGAAGAATGCATTCCTGAACACTGTGCTCATTAGACAAGTATTATTTTACATTATTTAATTACGTTGAACTGAATTTTGCCTCTACACATTGGCATGAATTACGCTTTCTGAATTCATTACAGATAAAGTAGAAAGATTTTACTACTGCTTCCACATGATAAAACTCTAAATATTTAATGATAACCATCATATTCATATCTCCAACTCCTTCAACTACTCAACAAATGTTTTGTTCTCATACATCCTCTTCTGCATAAGTGGTCTACTTTATCAATGTCTGGTGCCAAAAACTACACTTATTGTAGATCTGAACAACATAGTATCCTGATCCTTGGTTTACAAAGGTTTCCATGAATGGCTTTTTACATCCCTATGTGATAGGTCTTTTATTTTTATATTTAGAATTCACTTCAATCTCCCAAGTAGCACCATGACATTGTGTGGGAAGGCAGGTAAAAGAATCAGATCTTTGATGATGTGCTAAGACGAATTTTGAATATTTTGAACTGTAACTTGTCTAGGTAAGCCAATGGCTAATACAATCCTTATATATCTTATAGATAAAAGAAAATCAATTCTTACTAGATCCTTTGGACTAGAAACATACTTGATTCTAAACCAAGCCAGTTATAAGGAAGTGATATATTTCCAAAGACTCTCCTAGCTCCAACAATTAATTGTCTGTAGCTGAGATTGTAAAAGTTGTGTAATATATTGATGATAAACCAAAGGATATGTTAGAGAAACATTATCTATGAGTTTATCATGCCCATAAGATACTTACAAGTAGGAGCAAGCACAATCCCCTGATAAAAGATAACAAGAAAACATTTCTAAAGTGAAAAAATACTCTGCTCACATATCTCACAAATGTAGAAAACAGGTCAGCTATTGACATGGCTGACGCAAAAACCTAGCATCTTTGAGTTAGTCAAACCCACTTTATGCACACCCTTGACAGAATTATTCAAGGCCTTGATGATTCAGGAATAAATTAATATGATATTTTATTTTCACCTTCATATCAAGGACTTTTGCTTTATTCCTTTTCCACAAACTCCTCTAAATAAAAGTACATCAGAACTGAGTTCTATGACTGTCCTTTGCTCATTGTTGACTCAGCTTTGCAAGTAGCATACCTAAATCTCCAGGACTTATTACAGCCCTACCTCCACGAAATTTTCTCAGCAACATAGCGTAGTGAAAATAGAAGCAAAATTTCCTGACATTACCTATTAATGTTTTATGACTGTGGGATAAATATAACATAAGAAATTCTGATGAACAAAGAGATAATAGTGCCTAATCCCACAAGAGCAATTGTGAGAATCTTCTGAGATTACAGGTTAAAACTATTTAATAATGTTGACTTTTTTCCTTTCTTAAGTTTTTCCTAACCCAAAATGATCAACTGTATTTAATAGCATTTGATCTCTAAACTAATATTTGTCAACTAATCAGAGATCTTCTAAAATTTTTCATCTCTTTGTCCTTAGATTATTTTGCTCTAATTTTATTACTTAATTTTTTTACAAGATGAAGTCTTGTCTTCCCAACTAAATTGGAAACTTACTGAGGATGGAGATATCGACTGATCTATCGACATATCTTTCACAGTTCCTAGAAGGCAGGCAAATGTTTACTATCATTTGATGCAAATACATTTCAAAAACTATTCAATTTGACACAATAAATTTATTTTTTATCTACAAAATGTTTAATAACAAACTGTATTTGACAGGGTTATCCAAAGAAACAGAACCAATAAAAGGAGTGTGTGTGTTTGTGTGTGTGTGTGTGTGTGTGTGTGTGTGCATGCAGACAAAGAAAGATTTATTTACTTTTTACTTTTTTAATTATACTTTAAGTTTTGGGATACATGTGCGGAATGTGCAGAACGTGCAAGTTTGTTACATAGGTATACATGTCCCACCGTGGTTTGCTGCACCCATCAAACCGTCATCTACATTAGGTATTTCTCCTAATGCTATCCCTCCCCTTGCGCCCCACCCCCTGACAGGCTCCGGTGTGTGATGTTCCCCTCCCTGTGCCCATATGTTCTCGTTGTTCACCTCCCACTTATGAGTGAGAACATGTGGTGTTTGGTTTTCTGTTCCTGTGTTAGTTTGCTGAGAATAATGGTTTCCAGCTTCATCCATGTCCCTTCAAAGGACATGAACTCATTCTTTTTTATGGCTGCATAGTATTCCATGATGTATATGTGCCACATTTTCTTTATCCAGTCATCATTGATGGGCATTTTGGTTGGTTCCAAACCTTAGCTATTGTGAATACCACTACAATAAACATGCATGTGCATGTGGCTTTATTATAGAATGATTTATAATACTTTGGGTATATACCCAGTAATGGGATGGCTGGGTCAAATGGTATTTCTGGTTCCAGATCCTTGAGGAATCGCCACACAGTCTTCCACAATGGTTGAACTAATTTACACTCCCAATAGTGTAAAAGCATTCCTACTTCTCCACATCCTCTCCAGCATCTGTTGTTTCCTGACTTTTTAATGATCACCATTATGACTGGTGTGAGATGGTATTTCATTGTGGTTTTAATTTACATTTCTCTAATACCATCGATGATGAGCTTTTTTTCACATGTTTGTTGGCTGCATAAATGTCTTCTTTTGAGAAGTGTCCGTTCATATCCTTCACCCACATTTTGATGGGGCTGTTTGTTTTTTTCTTGTAAATGTGTTTAGGTTCCTTGTAGATTCTGGATATTAGCCCTTTGTCAGATGGATAGATTGCAAAAATTTTCTCCCATTCTATAGGTTGTCTGTTCGTTCTAATGATAGTTTCTTTTGCTGTGCAGAAGCTCTTTAGTTTAATTAGATCCCATTTATCAATTTTGGCTTTTGTTGCAATTGTTTTTGATGTTTTAGTAATGAAGTCTTTGCCCATGCCTATGTCCTGAATGGTATTGCCTAGGTTTTCTTCTAGGGTTTTTATGGTTTTAGGTCTTACGTTTAAGTCTTTTAATCTATCTGGAGTTAATTTTTGTATAACATGTAAGGAAGGGGTCCAGTTTCGTTTTCTGCATATGGCTAGCCAGTTTTTGCAACACAGTTTTAAATAGGGAATCCTTTCCCCATTGCTTGTTTTCGTCAGGTTTGTCAAAGATCAGATGGTTGTAGATGTGTGGTGTTATTTCTGAGGCCTCTGTTCTGTCCCATTGGTCTACATATCTGTTTTGGTACCAGTACTGTTGCAATAGAAGAAAAACAAATAAAAGGCATAAAGATTAGGAAAGAGGAAATAATACTAAAACTTTCCTTATTAACAGATTATAGTGCTATTTACATAGATTTTTCTATGTAAAGAATAGTAAATTGACAAATTAACTACTTGAGCCAACAAATAAATTTAGCAAAGTCACAGATACAAAGTGAATATATGAAAATAACTGCAGTAGCAACAAGCAATGGCACTATCATCAAAAAATTAGAAATAAGATTTTAAGAATTCCATTCACGGTTATATCAAAAAAACACAGGATACCTAGAAATAAATCTAACAAGAGATGTCCAAGTCTTCTACATTAAAAACTACAAAATGTTGAGAGAATTTGAAGAATACTTTAAAATGGTAGTTCTCCCCAATGTGTGTATGTAGAGTCAATGGAAACACAATCAAATTCTGGAAGCCTTTTCGTAGACATTGATTATCTCATTCTACATCGTATATGAAAATGTAATAGAATGTCATCAAAGCAATTTTAGTGAAAACTGTTATAAATGTAGTAATCAAGACAGTTTGGTATTTCAAAATGACAGACCTATACATGTATGTATGAAACAGAATAAAGAGTACAGAAATGGACCCACATCAATTTAACAAAGATGACAAGGCAATTCAATGAGAAAATAAGTCTTTTTAATAAGTAATGCTCAAAATAAACATTAATCCTTACTGAAAACCATATACAAAAATTACCTCAAGATGGATCATATACCCAAATGTAAAATCCAAAATCATAACATGTGTAGAAGAAAATATACAAGAGCGGTATTACCTAGGTTTTCTTCTAGGCTTTTTATGGTTTTAGGTCTTAAATTTAAATCTTTAATCATCTTGAGTTAATTTTTGTATAAGGTGTAGGGAAGGGGGTCCAGTTTCAGTTTTCTGCATATGGCTAGCCAGTTTTCCCAAAACCATTTATTAAATAATCATTTCTCCATTGCTTGATTTTGTCAGGTTTGTCAAAGATCAGATGGTTTTAGATGTGTGGTGTTATTTCTGAGGCTTCTGTTCTGTCCCATTGGTCTATATATCTGTTTTGGTACCTGTACCACGCTGTTTGGGTTACTGTAGTCTTGCAGTATAGTCTGAAGTCAGGTAGTGTGATGCCTCCAGCATTGTTCTATTTTCTTAGTATCTTCTTGGCTATACAGGCTTCTTTTGGTTCCATATGAAATTTAAAGTAGTTTTCTAATTCTGTGAAGAAAGTCAATGGTAACTTGATGGGAATGGCATTGAATCTATAAATTACTTTGGGCAGTACGGCCATTTTCACAATATTGATTCTTCCTATCCATGAGCATGGAATGTTTTTCCATTTGTTTGTGTCCTCTCTTAGTTCCTTGAGGAGTGGTTTGTAGTTCTACTTGAACAAGTTCTTCATATCCCTTGAAGTTTTATTCCTAGGTATTTTATTCTCTTTGTAGTAATTGTGATTGAGAGTTCACTCATGAGTTGGCTCTCTGTTTGTCTATTATTTGTGTATACAAATGATGCGATTTTTGCACATTGATTTTGTATCCTTAGACTTTGCTGAAGTTGCTTATCAGCTTAAGGAGTTTTTGGGCTGAGATGATGGAGTTTTCTAAATATACAATCATGTCATCTGCAAACAGAGATAATTTGACTTCCTCTCTTCCTATTTGAATAACCTTTATTTCTTTCACTTGTGTGATTGCTCTGGCCAGAAATTCCAATACTATGTCGAATAGGAATGGTGAGAGAGGGCATCCTTGTACTGGTGTTCAAAGATAATGCTTCCAGAATTTGCCCATTCAGTATGATATTGGCTGTGGGTTTGTCATAAATAGCTCTTATTATTTTGAGATACATTCCATCAATACCTAGTTTATTGGGTGTTTTTAGTATGAAGGGGTGTTGAATTTTATCAAAGGACTTTTCTGCATCTATTGATATAATTGTGGTTTTTGACATTGGTTCTGTTTATGTCATGAATTACGTTTACTGATTTAAGTATGTTGAACCAGCCTTGCATCCCAGGGATGAAGCCGACTTGATCGTGGTGGATAAGCTTTTTAATGTGCTGCTGGATTTGGTTTGCCAGAATTTTATTGAGGATTTTCGCATAGAGATTCATCAGGAATATTGGTCTGAAATTTTCTTTTGTGTTGGATCTCTACCAGGTTTTAGTATCAGAATGATGCTGGCCTCAAAAAATGAATTAGGGAGGAGTACCTCTTGTTCTGTTGCTTAGAATAGTTTTAGAAGGAATGGCACCCGCTCCTCTTTGTACCTCTGGTAGAATTCGGCTGTGAATCCGTCTGGTCCTAGGCTTTTCTTGGTTGGTAGGCTATTAATTACTGCCTCAATTTCAGAAATTATTGGTCTATTCAGGGTTTCAAATGATTCCTGGTTTAGTCTTAGGTGATGTATGTGTCCAGGAATTTATCCATTTCTTCTAGATTTTCTGGTTTATTTTGCATAGAGATTTTTAGAGTATTCTCTGATGGTAGCTTGTATTTCAGTGGGATCAGTGGTGATATCCCCTTTATCACTTTTTGGCATTTATTTGATTCTTCTCTCTTTTCTTTTTTTTTTTTAGTCTGGCTTGTGGTCTATTTTATTAATCTTTTCAAAAAACCAGCTCCTGGATTCACTGATTTTTTGAAGGGTTTTTCGTGTCTCTATCCCCTTCAGTTCTGCTCTGATCTCAGTTATTTCTTGTCTTATGCTAGCTTTTGAATTTGTTTGCTCTTGATTCTCTAGTTCTTTTAATTGTGATGTTAGCGTGTCAATTTTAGATCTTTCCTGCTTTCTCATGAGGGCATTTAGTGCTATAAATTTCCCTCTTAACACTGCTTTAGCTGTGTCCCAGAGATTCTGGTACATTGTCTCTTTGTTCTTACTGGTTTCAAATAACTTACTTATTTCTGCCTTAATTTCGTTATTTACCCAGTAGGCATTCAGGAGCAGGTTGTTCAGTTTCCATGTAGTTGTGCGGTTTTGAGTGAGTTTCTTAATCCTGAGTTCCAATTTGATTGCACTGTGGTCTGAGAGACTGTTTCTTATGATTTCTTTTGCATATACTGAGGAGTCTGTTACTCCTAGTTATGTGAACAGTTCTAGAATAAGTGCTATGTGGTCCTGAGAAGAATGTATATTCTGTTGACTTGGGGTGGAGAGTTCTGTAGACGTCTATTGGGTCCACCTGGTTCAGAGCTGAGTTCAAGTCTTGAATATCCTTGTTAATTTTCTGTCCCCATCTGTCTGATATTGACAGTGGGGTGTTAAAGTCTCTCACTATTATTGTGTGGTAGTCTAAGTCTCTCTGTAGGTCTCAAAAAACTTGCTTTAAGAATCTGGGTCCTCCTCTATTCTGTGCATATATATATTTAGGATAGTTAGCCCTTCTTGTTGCATTGATCCCTTTACCATTATGTAATGCCCTTCTTTGTCTCTTTTGATCTTTGTTGGCTTAAAGTCTGTTTTATCTGAGACTAGGATTGCAACCCCTGCTTTTCTGGCTTTCCATTTGCTTGGTAAATCTTCCCACATCCCTTTATTTTGAGCCTATGTGTGTCTTTGCACATGAGATGGGTCTCCTCAATACAGCATACCAATGGGTCTTGACCCTTTATCCAATTTGCCAGTCTGTGTCTGTTAATTGGGGCATTTAGCCCATTTACATTTAAGATTAATATAGTTATGTGTGAATTGGATCCTGTCATATGATGCTAGCTGGTTACTTTGCCCATTACTTGATGCAGTTTCTTCATAGTGTCAATGATCTTTACATTTTGGTATGGTTTTGCACTGGCTGGTACTGGTTTATGCTTTCCATATTTAGTGCTTCCTTCAGGAGCTCTTGCACGGGCAAGGCTGATGGTGACAAAATCCTTCAGCATTTGCTTGTCTGTGAAGGATTTTATTTCTCCTTTGCCTATGAAGCTTAGATTGGCTAAATGTGAAATTCTGGGTTGAAAATTCTTTTCTTTGAGAATGTTGAATATTGGACCCCACTCTTTTCTGACTTACAGGGTTTCTGCAGAGGATCCCCTGTTAGTCTGATGGGCTTCCCTTTGCGGGTAATCTGACCTTTCCCTCTGGCTGCCCTTAACATTTTTTCCTTCATTTCAACCTTGGTGGATCTGACAATTATGTGTCTTGGGGTTGCTATTCTCAAGGAATATCTCTGTGGTGTTGTCTGTATTCCCAGAATTTGAATGTTGGCCTGTTTTGCTAGGTTGGGGAATTTCTCCTGGATAATATCCTGAACAGTGTTTCCCAACTTGGTTCCATTCTGCCCCTCACTTTCAGGTATGCCAATCAAATGTAGGTCTGGTCTTTTCACATAGTTCCATATTTCTTGGAGGCCTTGTTCATTCCTTTTCATTCTTTTTTCTCTAATCTTGTCTTCACGCTTTATTTCATTAAGTTGATCTTCAGTCTCTGATATCCTTTCTTCCACTTCATCGATTCAGCTATTGATACTCATGTATGCTTCATGAAGCTATCGTCCTGTGTTTTTCAGCTCCATCAGGTCATTTATGTTCTTCTCTAAACTGGTTATTCTAGTTAGCAGTTCCTGTAACATTTTATCAAGATTCTTAGCTTCCTTGCATTGGGTTAGAACATGCTCCTTTAGCTCAGAGGATTTTGTTATTACCCACATTCTGAAGCCTACTTCTGTCAATTCATCAAACTTACCCTCTGTACGGTTTTGTTCTCTTGCTGGCGAGGAGTTGTGATCCTTTGGAGGAGAAGAGGCATTCTGTTTTTTGGAATTTTCAGCCTTTTTACACGGGTTTTTCCTCATCTTCATGATTTATCTACCTTTGGTCTTTGATGTTGGTGACCTTCGGATGGGGTTTTTGCATGGGTGTTCTTTTTTTTTTTTATTTTTTTATTTTTAATGTTTTTTTTTTATTATTATACTCTAAGTTTTAGGGTACATGTGCACATTGTGCAGGTTAGTTACATATGTATACATGTGCATGGGTGTTCTTTTTGTTAATGTTGATGCCATTGCTTTCTGTTTGTTAGTTTTCCTTCTAATAGTAGGGCCTTTCTTCTGCAAGTCTGCTGGATTTTGCTGTAAGTCCACTCCAGGCCCTGTTTGCCTGGATGTCACCAGTGCAGCCTGTGCAACAGCAAAGATTGCTGCCTGCTCCTTCCTCTGGAAACTTTGTCCCAGAGGGGCACCCAACAGATGCCAGCTGGAGCTCTCCTGTATGAAGTGTCTGTCAACCCCTGCTGGGAGGTGTCTCTCATTCAGAAGGTACAGGGGTCAGGAACCCACTTGAGGAAGCAGCCTGTCCCTTAGCAGAGCTCAAGCACTGTGCTGGGAAATCCACTGCTCTCTTCAGAGCCATTAGCAGGAACATTTAAGTCTGCTGAAGCTTGCCCATGGATTTATTTTAAGAAATCGGTTAAAACAATCATGGAGGACAGCAAATCCAAAATCTGCAGGTTGGGCTGTCAGACTGAAGATCCAGGGAAGAGTTAATGTTGCCCCTTGAATCTGAAGGATGACCACAGGCAGAATTTCCTCTTCTTTGGGGAAGTCAATCTTTTTGCTTTTATGATGTTTAACTATTTGAATAAGCCCCACACCATACTGTAGATGGTAATCTGCTTTACTCCAAGCCTAATAATTTTAATGTGAATTTTACCTAAAAATACCATCACAGTAGCATCTAGACTAAGGTTTAAACAAATGCCTGGGTACCAGGGCCTAGCCAAGTTGAGACATAAAATTAACCATCACATCAACCCTTAAGATCAGTGTTATCTCCTCTAATGGTCATATTATTGCCATCAGCCAAGATAACAGAAGAGTAGTCTGTTTTTCATTTTTTAAATTATTCCTCATACCATGCACTCCTAATTAAGAATATGATCTGGTAAGAATTAGAAGGAACCTTAAGGTTTATTCCACTTTAAAGAAAAAAAAATCAATAATGCCCAAATGAGAAGTGACTTGCTCCAAGCTATACTGTGTTAAGCCAGAGTTGGAGTCAGTTCTAGTTCTTTGACTTTAATCCTTCAGCTGCCACACACAAACATGAGCCTCTGTTTATGCTCCAACCTTATTTGAATGTTGGCATTAATCTTACAAAATACTAAACTAACTCTAATGGATTCATATTAAAACTTCCTGATCTCTTAGTTTTTCTTAAATAATCATTATTTCCCCAAACATAGCTATTCTTGAGCACACACACACAAAAAATCTCCATCTCTCAATGTAGGAAAATCCTCCTGGAATCCATCATATTGTGAAATTTAACAAGGAATCTTAGAGGCAGCAGCATGAATTAACCCAATGATAATTTTATCTAACTAGTCAAAAATAAAAGAAAACCTGTATCACTCTCCAGCCCTGCCACGCTGCTTTTAGGCAACACTTCATCACTTATCACCTAATTGTTGCCACCAATCTATCACCCATATTTGTGCCAGAGTGATCTTTCTAAAATGCAAACTTAACTATGTCACTCACCTCTTCAAATCCTTATTCAATGGCTCAGTTAGAATATGACCCAATGTCCCTGTTATCTGGCTCCTTTATTTCTAGCTTTGTCTCCCACAATACATTCAATATTTCCCCATGTTCCAGACTCACGCCAAAATTTACTTACGTCCAAACATTTTATACTAGTGTTTCTCAATCTTTTATACTCAGTACTCTTCAAATTTATTTGAAATTATAAATTAAAAAAATTTTTTTGAAATATCAATATAATTGCCTGTTATATGGCTTTTAAATAAGATATTTTGACTTCTGATGTACACAGGTCAGCACCCTCATAATTTACATGTCCCCTCCAAATATATAGTAATTATAGATATAACCACGCAGATATACCAGGTTTTAGAGGACAGATGAGCATCTCTGTGAACCAAAAGTTAAAAGAGAAAAAAAAGTCAAGAATAAGTAGAAAAAAAAAGCCCTGAGCCTAGTGGGCTCCAGATTGAAAATCAGGCCACAGTAACCAGGAGTTTTGCTCTTAAAGGAAAAAAGTACTAAAATTGCTCCACAATAGATTTGAGACTAAAGTCAGGCCTCTGGTTGAAGACAGATTCTAAGATGCCTTTTAATAACATGAAAGAATGCTAAATAAAATGACTGATACTTACTACTATAGGTAGCAGTAGAAGACTTATACAGTTTGGCTATATCCCCACCCAAATCCCATCTTGAATTGTAGTTCCCATAATCCCCACATGTTGTGGGATGGACCAGGTGGGCGGTAATTGAATCATGGAGGGAGTTTACCCCCATGCTGCTGTTCTCACGATAGTGAGTAAGTTCTCACAAAATCTGATGGTTTTATAAGGGGCTTTTCTCTCTTTGCTTGGCACTTCTCCTTCTTGCCATCATGTGAAGAAGGATATGTTTGCTTCCCCTTCCACCATGATTGTAAGTTTCCTGAGGCCTCCCCAGCCATGCAGAATTGTAAATCAATTAAACCTCTTTCCTTTATAAATTACCCAGTCTTGGGCAGTTCTTTATAGCAGCTGAGAACAAACAAATACGGTAAAGTGGGACATGAGATTTGGTAGGGGCCAGGGACAGAATGATATGGATTGGCTGTGTTCCCACCCAAAGCCTAATCTTGAATTGTAATCTGAATGATAATCCCCAAGTGTTGGTGAAGGAACCTCATGGGAGGTGATTAGATCATGGGGGCAGTTCCCTCATGCTGTTCTCATGATAGTGAGTGAGCTCTCATGAGATCTGATGGTTTTATAAAAGGCTTTTCTCCCCTTCACTCTCACTTCTCTCTCCTGCTATCATGTGAAGAAGAATGTGTTTGCTTCCCCTTCTGCCATGATTGTATATTTTTTGAGGCTTCCCAGCCATGCAAAACTGAGAGTCAATTAAACCTGTTTCCTTTATAAATTACCCAGCCTCATGTATGTCAGTATAGCAGTGTAAAAATGAACTAATACAGTAAATTGGTACTGCAGAGAGTGGGGTACTGCTATAATTGAAATGTGCATGTGACTTTAGAATTGGGTTACAGGCAGACATTGGAACAGTTTGGAGGGCTCAAAAGAAGACAGAAAAGCGTGGGAAAGTTTGGATCTTCCTAGAGACTTGTAGGGCTCAGAAGACAGTAAGAAGTGGGAAAGTTTGGAACTTCCTAGAGACTTGTTGAATGGTTTCAACCAAAAGGCTGATAGTGATATGGACAATGAAGTCCAGGTTGAGGTGGTCTCAGATGCAGATGAGGACCTTCTTGAGAAATGGAGCAAAGGTGACTCTTACTATGCTTTAGCAAAGACACTGGGAGCATTTTGCCCTTGTCCTAGAGATCTGTGGAACTTTGAACTCAACTGAGTTGATTTAGGGTGTCTGGCAGAAGAAATTTCTAAGCAGCAAAGTATTCAAGAGGAAGAAGAGCATGAAAGTTTGGAAAATTTGCAGACTGACAATGCAATAGAAAAGAAAAATCCATTTTCTGGGGAAAAATTCAAGCAGTCTGCAGAAATCTGTATAAGTAAAGAGGAGCTGAATGTTAATTGATAAGACTATGGGGAAAACGTCTCCAGGGCATGTCAGAGACCTTCACAGCATCCCCTCCCTGTAGGCCTGGGAGGAAAAAATGGTTTCATTGGCCAGGCCCAGGGCAATCCCCAGCTCTGTACAGCCTCAGGACATGGTGCCCTGCATCCCAGCTGCTTCAGTTCCAGCTGTGGCTAAAAGGGGCCAAGGTACAGCTCTGGCTATGGCTTCAAAAGGTGCAAGCCCCAAGCCTTGGCAACTTCCACATGATGTTAGTCCTGCGGGTGCACAGAAGTCAAGAACTGAGCATTGGAACCTCTTCCTAGGTTTCAGAGGATGTATGGAAACACCTGGATGTCCAGGCAGAACTTTTGCTGTGGGTAGGGAGAGCTCTCATGGAGAACCTCTTGCTAGGGCAATGCAGAAGGTAAATGTGGGTTTGGAGCACCCACACAGGGTCCTCACTGGGGGTGCTACCTAGTGTAGATATAAGAAGATGGCCACCATCCTCTAGACCCCAGAATGGTAGATCCACCAAGAGCTTATACCGTATGCTTGGAAAACCTGCAGGCACTCAATGCCAGCCTATGAAGGAACTGCCCAGGGTCATGGGAGGCCACCTCTTGCAACAGCATGCCTCACATGTGACATACAGAGTCAAAGGATATCATTTGGGAGCTTTAAGATTTAATGACTGCCCTGCTGGATTTCAGACTTGCATGGGGCCTGTAACCCCCTTGTTTTGGCTAATTTCTCCCATTTGGAATGAGAACATTTACCCAATGCCCATAACCCAATCATATCTTAGCTGTAACTAGCTTTTTTTTTTTTTAACAGGCTCATAGATGGAAGGGGCTTCTCTCAGATAAAACTTTGGCCTTGGACTTTTGAGTTAATGCTGGAATGACTTAGGACTTTAGGGGACTGTTGGGAAGGCAAAATTTTGTTTTGAAATGTGAGGGCATGAGATTTTGGAGGGGCCAGAGGCACAATGATATGGTTGGTTCTGTGTCCCCACCCAAATCTCATCTGGAATTGTAATCTGAACTGTAATCCCCAGGTGTCAAGGGAGGGTCCTGGTGAGAGGTGATTGGATCATGGGGGCAGTTTTCCCCAAGCTGATCTTGTAATAGTGATTGAATTCTCAGGAGATCTAATGGTTTTATAAATAGCAGTTTCCCCTTTTCTCTCTCTTGCCTGCCTCCATGTAAGACATGCCTGCTTCCCCTTCTGCTATGACTGATCCCAAGCCAGGCAGATCTGTGAGTCTACCTCTTTTCTTTATAAATTACCCAGTCTCAGGCAATTCTTCACAGTAGTGTGAAAACAGACTAAATACACTCTGATATGTGATAAAAAATGGCTCTTTACCTCTCTGTAGTTTTCTTCACTAAAACCAGTAGCCCCTGTATAATCACAGGAAAACATCTGAAAAGTCCAAAGTAAGAGACATTCTAAAATATACCTAGACAGCACTCCTCAAAATTATTAAGGTCATCAAAAATAAAAGTCTGAGAAATTCTCAGTCTAGAACTGCCTAAGGGGAAACAATGACAAAACAGAACCTGGTATCCTGCATAAGACCCTGAGACAGAAAATGTCCATTACAAAAAACTAAGCATATCTGGGTAATGTATGGACTTCAGCTAGTTGATAATTAAGTATCAATATTGGTTCATTATTTACAGCAAATGTACAATAGTATGTAAAACATTAACTATAGGAGAAATTGGGAGTAGGTATACATAAAATTTATGTAGTATCTTTGCAGTTTCTCCGTGAATATAAAACTATTCTATGGTGGAAACAACCCAAATGTCCATTAACAGATGAACGGATAAACAAAATGAGGTATATCCAAACAATGGACGATGATTCAGCCATAAACACAAAGTGAGATACTGATACATGCTACAACATAAATAAATCTCAAAACAGTCAGGCTGAGTGAAAGAAGCCAGGTATAAAATTCTCATATTGTATTCCATTTATGTGAGATATCAAGGCTAGATAAATCCATAATGACAGGAAGGAAATCAAGTGATTGCCAAAGGCTGGGGTAAATAAGACATGGAAAGTGACTTCTTAATGAGTACAGGAGTTTTATGGGGGTTGTGAAAATATTTTGGAACTAGATAGAGATGATGGTAATATAACATTGCCAATGTACAAAATGCCACCAAATCATCTGCTTTAAAATGGTTAATTTTTTTGAAAATTGTTCGTATCCTTTGCCACTTTTTGATGGGGTTGTTTTTTCCTTGTAAATTTGTTTAAGTTCCTTGTAAATTCTGGATATTAGACCTTTATCAGATGGGTAGATTGCAAAAATTTCGTCCCATTCTTTAGGTTGCCTGTTCACTCTGATGATAGTTTCTTTTGCTGTGCATAAGATCTTTAGTTTAATTAGATGCCATTTGTAAATTCTGGCATTTGTTGTAATTGCTCTTGGCATTTTTGTCATGAAGTCTTTGCCCATGCCTATGTCCTGAATGGTATTATGCGGCCAACACATGTATGAAAAAAAGCTCAACATTACTGATCATCAGAGAAATGCAAATCAAAACCACAATGAGATACCATCTCAACACCAGTCATAATGGCAATTATTAAAAAGTCAGGAAACAATAGATGCTGGCAAGCCTATGGAGAAATAGGAACACTCTTACATTGTTGGTGGAAATGTAAATTAGTTCAACCACTGTGGAAGACAGTGTGGCAATTCCTTAAGGATCTAGAACCAGAAATACCACTTGACCCAGGAATCCCATTACTGGGTATATACCCAAAGAAACATAAATCATTCTACCATAAAGACACATACACAAGTATGTTTATTGCAGCACTATTTACAATAGAAAAGACATAGAACCAACCCAAATGCCCATCATTGATAGAATGGATAAAGAAAATGTGATACATACACACCATCAAATACTATGCAACCATAAAAAGGATGAGATCATGTCCTTTGCAGAGACATGGATGAAGCTGGAAGACATCATCCTCAGCAAATCAACACAGAAACAGAAAACCAAATATCACATGTTTTCCCTCATAAGTGGGACTTGAACAATGAGAACACATGGACTCAGAGAGGGGAACAACATGCACCAGGGCCTGTTGGGGGGTGGGGGTAATGGGAGGGAACTTAGAGGATGGGTCAATAGGTGCAGCAAACCACCATGGCAAACGTATACCTATGTAACAAACCTGCATGTTCTGCACATGCATCCCGTTTTTTTTTTTTTTAAGAAAAAATTCTAAAAAATGGTTAATTTTCTGTTACTGAATTTTACTTTAATTAAAAAATGTATGAACAAAAGAATCTGAAATTGTTTTCAAGAGTTTATTTTAAAAAGAAGGCTATCATACTTTCTTATCTATTGTAAAAATAAATATAAATATTACTTTATTGTAAAACTCTTAATCTATTATAAGAGATTCAATCTTAAAAATCACAGAATATATACAAAGCTATCATGGTAGCAAAAGGTCAATGTAGTCAGAGCATCGGAAAAGGACTCTGTGAAATGAGCTCTAATCCAACACATTAAGGAACTGTATTACATACAGCCCTGGCTCTGGCCACCACCTAGCTTTGAGACCTTCGTTAGTCTCTTCCCTTTTTGGCATCCCAAATTCTTCTTCTTTACCTCTTTTTGTTCCTTTCTTAAATTGACACATTGTAATTGTAGATATTTATGCAATACAAATCAATGTTCTGATAAATATATGTTGCATAATGTTCAAATCGGGGTTATTTAGTATATCCATCACCAAACATCTATGATTTCTTTGTGATAAGAGCATTCAAAAAACCTCTCTTATAGCTTTTTAAAAATATATAATGCTTTACTGTTAACCATCATCACCTTACTATATTGTGAAATACTAGAGCTTATTCCTCCTACTTAATTGCAACTTTGTGCCTGTTGACCAATGTCTCCCCATTCTCCCCTTCTCTCACCCTTTCCCAGTCTCTGGTGCCCATTGTTCTACTCTCTATTTCTATAATAGTTTTTTAAGGCTAAATAGTATTCTATTGTGTATATATACCATATTTTATTTATCCACTCATCTATTATTGCATACTTGGGTCAATCCCACACCTTGGTTATTGTAAATACTGCTACAATAATCACATGACTGCAAATGTTGCTTTGACATACCAATTTCATCTCCTTTGGATATGAACCCAGTAGTGGGATTCCTGGGTCATATGGCATTTCTATTTTTAATTTTTTGAGAAATTTCCATGCAGATTTACATAGTGGCTGTATTAATTTCCAATCCCATGAATAGTGTGTAAGTGTTCCCTTTTCTCCACATCCTCACTAGCACTTGTTTTGTCTTTTTGATGACAGTCTTTCTAACTGGAGTAAGGTGGTACCTCAGTATAATTTTGATTTGCATTTTCCTAATGATTAGTGATGCTGAATATTTTTTCATGTACCTGTTGGCCATTTGTATGTCTGTTTTAGAGAAATGTCTATTAAGGTTTTCTTCTCAATTTTCTTCTTTTTTTTTTTTTTTTGAGACGGAGTCTTGCTCTGTCGCCCAGGCTGGAGTGCAGTGCCGCGATCTTGGCTCACTGAAAGCTCCGTCTTCCGGGTTCACTCCATTCTCCTGCCTCAGCCTCCTGAGTAGCTGGGACTACAGGCGCCTGCCACCATGCCCAGCTAATTTTTTGTATTTTTAGTAGAGACGGCGTTTCACCATGTTGGCCAGGATGGTCTCAATCTCCTGACCTCGTGCTCTGCCCGCCTTGGCCTCCCAAAGTGTTGGGATTACAGGCGTGAGCCACTGCACCCGGCCGTGTTGCTCAATTTTCTTATCCAGTTATTTGTTTTTCATTGTTGAGTTGTTTAAATTCTTTATATAGTCTGTTTATTAAATCCTTCTCCCATGCAAATGTTTTCTCCCATTCTGTAAGTTATCTTTTCACTTTGTTAACTGCTTCCCTCTCTGAGCAAGCTTTTCAGTTAGATATAATCCCCATTTGTCTATTTTTGCTTTTGTTTTCTGTACTTTCGAGGCCTTATTTAAAAAATCCTTGCCCAGCCCAGCGTCATAAAGTATTTCTCCTGTTTTCTTCTAGTACTTTCATATTATAGTTTCAAGTTTTATATTTAAGTTTTTAATCCATTTTGATTTGATGTTTTGTATATGATGAGAGTTAGGAGTCTACTCACATTCTTCTGCATATAGTTATCTAATTTTCCCTGCTCCATAGATTGTCTTTTCCCAATGTGTGTTCCTGGCACCTTTGTCAAAAATCAGTTGGTTATAGGAGTGTGTAATTTATTTCTAGACTCTTGCTTCTGTTCCACTGGTTGATGTCAGATTTTATGCCAGTCCCATGCTGTGTTAGTTACTACAGCCTTGCAGTGTATTTTAAAGTCAGGTAGTGTGATTCCCCCAGCTTTGTTCTCTCTGCTCAGGACTACTTCACTGTCCAAGGTACTGTGCCTTTCCATATAAATTTTAAGATTATTTTTTTCACTTGTTCCAGTCTAAGATGGCTGAGAAGCAGCTAGTGTGTGCATCTCTCACGTAGAGGAAACAAAACGGTGAGCAAATACTAGTTCTTCAAGATGATGGTCTAAGAGATTACATTGGGATTCACTAAGAAAGTGATGGAACACATGGAAAACAGAGAAGAGTGAAGCTGGGCAGCCACCCACCTGGGACTAGCATGGAGCCAGGGGAAGCTCCATAATGTAAGGCAACAGTGAGTAAGTGAAAGTCCCTAGATAATCCACACTTCTGCAATGAATCTTTGCAATTCTGGGCACAGGATAACCTCCCTGACTCCCCCAGGGCCTCCAGATGGACACAGAGCTGCCTGGTGTCTTTCTAGGGACACCACTCAATTCCACACGGAACCCGTCAGGCCATGGATACCTGAGCAGACTAGCATCAGTTGCTGTAGCCCCAACAAGGGAGGACAGGCTCTTTTGCACATCCCTAGGATAGAGGCCACAGCAGCAGTCCTGAGGAGTGGCCAGACTATACCACATGAGACCCCCATGCCCCTGCTACTTCTTGTCATGCAAGGCTTGCTGGCTTGGGCTCCCAGTGCAGCAGCCCTGTTCCCACCTGGCCAGCGCAGGCAGTCACAGTTCTGTGTTCCTCTGGAAAGCAGCCATACTTCACGCTGCGCAACCCCCTACATCTGCTGCTCCTCACAGCACAAGGCTTGGGCTCCCAGCACAGCAGCCCCACACCTACCTGAACACTGTGGTAAGTCACAACACGCATTCCTCTGGAGCAAAATTCCCAGAGGCAACAGACAAGGCTGGGCACCTTTACATGCCCACAACAGCAAAATCCAGCATCGCCTGGGTGGGAGGGAAGTGTAAGCATGCCATGTACCCCACAGCCACCAGTCTCCACTGCCCCAGTTGCCCCTAGCCCTCCCGAATGAAAGGTTCACAGCACAGCCACACCGCTTATGCCTAAACACAGAGGCCTTCTGAAAACCAAACCCCCACAGGCCTATGATAGTCCCTTGGGTTCCAATCACATAAACATTCTGCTTGCTCTCACCTGAGAGATCTGCCAGTGAGCATAGAACAAGGCCACCCTCCTGATCACAGCCAGCACCTCAACTTTGGGCTGGCCTGACCACAGTCCAGTCCTTTAGGATTCATATATGCTGTCCATCAGGACGTCTAGGGGCCTGGGAACTGGAGGACTGTCTACCCTATTCCAACTCTTCTAGCACCTGACCATTTCCTCAAGGGCTTGTGGTCAGGCCAACCTAACTAGTCGACACTACCAACACCAACATCTACTCACACAGGCCTAAAAATGAAACTACTCTCTTTATGAGAAACAGCAATATTGCCACATCAGAGAACAGAGGATCCATAAAGTTATCTAATTCAGGCTGAGTGTTGAGGTTATGCCCTTAAACCACTCCCATGGAGAGTCGCAAAAATAGGTGTTTCCTGTGGCTCTCAACTACACTGTGGTCCAGAGACAGACTAATGCAGTACGTATCTGAACTAGGAGTCAGAGCCATGGAACAGAGGTGTGATAGGAAAACAGATCAAGTTTGAGCCTATATAGGATGCAGAGCAAGTGCAGCCCACACATTCCCCTACAAATACCTCAACACACTTCAGCAGGAGCTCCTCCCAGTCGCCCTTCTCAGGACTAGTGCCTGTGCTCACCATCAGGGTATTTGTGGGTAACCCAGAGGCTCCAGCATTGCCCAGCTGTGTCCCTCCACCCCCCATGGAACAGGAAGCTCAGAGCTCCAGCCATTCCAAGGCTCGGCCCTTCACCTGAAACAACAGAGTACACTCCACAGTAAACAAAGATCAGTACAAACCCCCCTGCTTGTTCCACAGATGGCTCTTTCCCACAAGTGCCATCTACTGGCATGTAGGTCAAACCACATGGCTCAATACAAAACCTGCCAACAGAAGTTCACAGGGCTATACAAGCAAAGCCAAAAGACCCTACTCAACATACTCTACGGTCACACTCCTAGGGAGGAGGAAAAGAAAAAGAAAAATATATATACACATATGCAGAAAGTGAAAAAATCCTATTCACAAAAAAATAATTACAATAATTAGAATTGCTAACCTCTCCAGTTAAGGAACCACCATAAGAATTCTAGCACCATGAAAAATCTCAATGCTGTGACACCACCAAAAGATGACACTAGCTCTCCAGAAATGGTCTCTAACCAAAATGCAAACTAATAAATGACATATAAAGAATTCAAAACATGGATTACAAAGAAGCTAAGCAAGATCCAAAACAATGCTGAAAACACAAAAAAGCTTTGAAAGCAATCCAGAAAATGAAGGAAGAGAAAAATATCTTGAAAAATCAATCAGAACAATGGAAATTGAAAAACTCACTTCAAGAATTTCAAAATACAATTGAAAGCTTTATCAATAGATGAGATCAAGCAGAAGAAAGAATTTCAAAAATTGAAGCCCAGTCTTTTAAACCAACCCAGAGAAAAATAATGAAAAAAAATGTTTTAAATGAAAAGAATCTTTGAGAAATATGGAATTATGTAAAGTGATGAAATCTATGAATTATTGGCATTCCTGAGGGAGAAGGAGAAAAATTAAACAACTTGGAAAACATATTTCAGAGAATAATTCAAGAAAATGTCCCTAATCTTGCTACAGAGGTAGCCGGATAAAAACTAATCCAGAGTACATCTGCCAAATGCTTTACAAAATGAACACTGTCAAAGAATATTTTCACCAGACTGACTGTCCCAAGGTCAACACTAAAGCAAAAATCTTAAAGGCAGCTATGCAAAAAGGTGAGAACACATATAAAAGAAACCCCTTCAGCTAACAGTGGACATCTCATCAGAAACCTTACAAGCCAGAAGAGATTAGGGGCCTATTTTCAGCATTTTTAAGAGAAGAAATTCCAACTAAGAATTTCATATCCTGCCAAACTAAGCTTATAAGTGAAGGAGAAATAAAAATTTTTATAGATGAGAAATCACTAAGGGAATTCATTACCACTAGACAAGCCTTACAAGAGAACCTAAAGGGAGTTCTAAACCTGGAAAGAAAACATCTGCTAACACAAAATCATGCTTAAGTACATAGCTAACAACCCCTATAAAGCAACTACTCAATACAAACAAAACAACCAGCTAACAACTTCACAATAGGATCAAAACCTCACATGTCAATATTACCTTGAATGAAAATGGTCTGAATGCCCCCACTTAAAAGGCACAGAGTGGCAAGCTGGATTAAAAAAAAAAAAGGACCCTTCCATCCACTATCTTCAAGAAACCTAGCTCACACATAACAACACACATAGGCTCTAAGTAAATGACTGGAGAAAGCTATATCATGCAAATAGAAAACATAAAAGAACAGAGGTCAGGTCAATGTTCTTATATCAAATAAAATAGACTTTAAACTAAAAATAGTAAAACAAATCAAAACAAAAAAGGACAAAAAAGGCACTATGTAATTTAAAAGGGTTCAATTCAACAAGAAGACTGAACTATCCTAAATTTAGAATGTACACAATATTATAGCACCCAGATTCATAAAACAAGTACTTCTAGATCTCTGAAAAGTATTAGACAGCCAAACCAGAACAGTGGGAAACTTCAACACCCCACTGAGAGTACTAAAATGCAGATGATCAAAGAAGAAAACTAGCAAAGACATTCTGCACATAAATTTAACACTTCACCAACTGGACATAGTAGACAACTACACAACATTCTGCCAATCAACCAAAGAATATACATCCTTCTTATCTGAACACTGAATATACTCTAAGATCAACCACATACTTGGGCATAAAACAAGTCTCAATAAATTAAAAAAAAATAAAAGTCATATCAACCATACTTTTGGGCCACAGTGGAATAAAAATAGAAATCAATACCAAGACGATCTCTCAGAACCACATAATTACATGAAAATTAAACAACTTGATCCTGAAAGACCTTAGGGCGAACAATGAAATTAAGGCAGAAATAAAAAAAATTATGTGAAATAGATGAAAAGAGAGAAAGAACATATAAAATTTCTGAAATGTGGTGAAAGCAGTGTTAAGAGGAATATTTATAGCAATAAACACCTACATCAAGAAGTTAGATAAGTCACAAATGAACAATCTAACATTGCATCTAGAGTATAAAATGAAAAGAAGAAACAACCACAACATAAGCGGAAAAAAAAAGAAGTAAAATCACAGCAGAGTTGAATTTCATTAAGACCCCAAAATCTATACAAATGATCAACAAAACCAAAAGCTGTTTCTTTGAAATGATAAATGAAATCAATAGAACACTAGCTAGACTAACAAAGAAAGAAGACAAAAAGAGCACAATCAGAAATGACAAAGGTGACATTACAACTGATCCCAAAGAAATTAAAAAAAGACCCTCAGATACTATTATAAACATCTCTATGCAAACAAACAAGACAATCATCTATAAGAAATTGATGAATTCCTGGGAGCACACAATCTCCAAAGACTGAATCACGAAGAAATTGAAACCCTGAAAAGACAAATATCAAGTTCGAAAATTGAATCAGTTGCATGTGTACCCTAGAACTTAAAGTATAATTTAAAAAAAAAAAAGGATCTCAAAGAAAAAAAACAAAACAAAACAAAAAAACCCTGTCAACCAAAATGAGCCCTAGACCTGATGGATTCACAGCCGAATTTTACCAGATGTCCAAAGAAGAGCTGGTACCAATCCTCCTGAAATTATTCCAAAAAATTGAGGAGGAGGGTCTCATCTCTATCTCATTCTACAAAGCCAGGATTACTGTGACACCAAAATCTGTCAAAGACACAATGAAAACAAGAAAACTGCAGGTTAATATGCATGATGAACATAGACACAAAAATCCTCAAAAAAAAATTAACAAACTGAATCCAGCTGCACATCAAAATGTTAATTGACCATGTTCAAGTAGGCTTTATTCCTGGGATGCAGGGTTGGATCAACATATCCAAATCAATAAATGTGATTCGCCACATAAACAGAATTAAAAACAAAAATCATGTGATCATCTCAACTGACACAGAAAATGCTTTTGATAGAAACCCATATCTTTTTATGTTAAAAATACTCAACAAACTAGACATCAAAAGAGCACACATCCAAATGATAAGAGCCATCTATGACAAACCCATAGCCAGTATCATAGTGAACAAGGAAAATCTGGAACAATTCCCCTTGAGAACCAGAATGCGACAAGGATGACCACTCTCAACACTCCTATTCAACATATTACCGGAAGTCCTAGCCAGAGCAATCAGGCAAGAGAAAGAAACAAAGGCATTCAAATAGAAAAAAAAGTCAAAATATTTCTCTTCACTGCTAATGTAATTCTATGCCTAGAAAACCCTAGATTCCACCAAAAGGCTTCTAGAACTTAAAAGGAATATCAGTAGTTTTAGGATATAAAATAAATATACAAAAATCAGGACTTTTTTTTTTTTGAGATGGAGTCTCACTCTGTCGCCAGGCTGGAGTGCAGTGGCGCGATCTTGGCTCACTGCAACCTCCGCCTCCTGGGTTCAAGCGATTATCTTGCCTCAGCCTCCCAAGTAGCTGGGATTACAGGCATATGCCACCACATCCAGCTAATCTTTGTATTTTTAGTAGAGACAGGGTTTCACCATGTTGGCCAGGATGGTCTCGATCTTGTGACCTCGTGATCTGCCCACCTCGGCCTCCCAAAGTGGTGGGATTACAGGCATGAGCCACCACACCCAGCCAAAAATCAGGACCATTTCTATATGTTCAAGCCAAGAGCCAAATAAATAACACAATCTCATTTGTAATAGCCACACACACACACACACACACATACACAAACAAACACCTAGGAATACATTTAACCAAGATGGTGAAATATCTCTGAACACTGCTGAAATAAATCATAGATGACACAAACAAATGGAACTATATTCCATGCTCAGGTATTGTAAGAATCAAAATCTCTAAAATGGCCATAATGCCCAAAGCAAATTAAAAATCCAATGCTATTCTTATCAAACTACCAATGTTATTTGTCACAAAATTAGAAAAAAGTACTCTAAAATTCATATGGATCCAAAAAAGCGCCTGAATAGCCAAGCAATTCTAAGCAGAAAAAGAAAGAGCCAGGGCAGAACATTACCTGACTTCAAACTACACTACAGGGCTGCAGTAACCAAAATAGCATGGTAATGGTAGAAACACAGACACATAGACCAATGGAACAGAATAGAGAACCCAGAAATAAAGCTGCACACCTACAATCATCTAATCTTTGAAAAAGCCAACAAAAACGATGGGGACAGGACTCCCTATTCAATAAATGGTGGTG
The DNA here is from genome assembly GCF_000001405.40 of Homo sapiens. Taxonomy (NCBI): domain Eukaryota; kingdom Metazoa; phylum Chordata; class Mammalia; order Primates; family Hominidae; genus Homo; species Homo sapiens. Next base: position 49,769,740 of record NC_000001.11, read on the forward strand.
GGATAACTGGCTATCCATATGCAGATGAATGAAACTGATCCCTACCTATCAAGTTATACAAAAATTAACTCAATATGGATTAAAGATTTAAACGTAAGACCTCAAACTATAAAAATTCTAATAGAAGAAAACCTAAGAAATACCATTCAGAACATTGGTCTTGGCAAAGAATTCATGACTAATTCATCAAAAGCAATTGCAACAAAAAACAAAAATTGACAAGTGGGACCTAATTAAACTAAAGAGCTTATGCACACCAGAAAAATAAAACTATCAACAGAGTAAACAGACAATCTACAGGATGAAAGAAAATATTTCGGCTGGGCGCGGTGACTCACGCCTGTAATCCCAGCACTTTAGGAGGCTGGGGCGGATCACGAGGTCAGGAGATCAAGACCATCCTGGCTAACATGGTGAAACCCCATCTGTATGGCCGTTATCGTGATGAGGTACATACCTTCTATACCTAATTTGTTGAGAGTTTTGATTATGAAGCGATGTAGAATTTTCTCAAATGCTTTTTCTGAATCTATTGAAATAATGATATGATTTTATCTTTATTTTGTTGATGTGGTATATCACATTTATTGATTTGCATATGTTGAACCATCTTGTATCCCAGGGATGATTCCCACTTTATTGTAGCAGATGATGTTTTTTAATTTGCTGTTGAATTCAGTTTGCCGGTGTCTTTTTGATAATTTTTGCATCCATGTTCATCAGGAGTATTGGCTTGTAGTGTTCTTTTTGTTGTTGTGCCTTTGCCTTTGGTCAGGGTAACGCTGACCTTTTAAAAAGAGTTTGAAAGTATTCCCTCCTCTTTAATTTCTGGAAAAGTTTGAGAATAATTGGTATTAGTTCTTCTTCAAATATTGCTAGAATTCAGCAGTGAAGCTATCAAGACCTGGACTTTTTTTTCATCAAGATGTTTTATTACTGATTCAATTTACTCACTTATTGTTCTGTTCAGATTTTCTATTTTTTCATAATTTAAACGTGCTATGTTGTATGTATTCAGGAATTTATTCATTTCGTCTAAGTTCTCAAATTTGCTGGCATACTGCTGTTCATAGGAATCTCTTATGATCCTTTGTATTTCTGTGATATCAATTGTAATGTCTCCCTTCTCATCTCTGATTTTATTTATTTGGGTCTTTCCTCTTTTTCTCTTAGTTAATCTAACATTTTGTTGATTCTGTTTATCTTTTCAAAAACCAACTCTTCATTTCATTGATTTTTAAATTTTTTTTAGTCTCTTTCATTTATTTCTCTGTGAGCTTTATTATTTCCTTCCTACTACCAATTTTGGGTTGATTGTTCTTGTTTTTCTAGTTCCTTGAGAAGCATGATTAGGTTATTCATTAGACATCCTTCCCTTTCTTGTTGTACGTGCTTATTGCTGTGAACTTCCCTATTAGAACTGCTTTTGTTTTGTTCCATAGGTTTTGGTATTATATATTTCCATTCTTGTTTGTCTCAAGTAATTTTTAATTTACATTTTAATTTATTCATTGGCCCATTGGTTATTTGGAGGCACGTTGTTTAATTTCCATGTATTTGAAAGGTTTTCAATGGTTTTCTTGTTGATTTCTAGTTTTATAACATTGTGGTACAAAATGATACATGATATGGCATCTATTTTCTTAAATTTCATTAGACTTGTTGTGGGATCTAACATATTATTTATCCTGGAGAATGCTCCATGAGTGGTTGAGAAAAATGTGTATTCTGCAACTGTTGGATTGTTCTGTAAATGTCTATTAGGTCCATTTGGTTTCTGGTGTAGTTTTAAGTCTAATAACTATTTATTAATCTTCTGTTATGATGCTCTTTCCATTGTTAAAAGCGGGTTATTAAAGTACCTTACAATTATTGTATTGCAGACTATCTTTTCCTTTAGATCTAATAATCTTTGCTTTATGCATTTTTGTACTCCTATGTTCAGTGCATATATATTTACAATTGTTACACATTATTGAATTGCTCCCTTTATCATAATATAATGACTTTTTTCTCTCTTTACAATTTTTGATATAAAGTCGACTTTATCTGATATAAGTATGGCTACTCTTGCCTGCTTTTGGTTTCTATTTTTCCATCCCTTCATTTTCAGCCCTGTATTGTCTTTAATGGTGAGATGAGTCTTTTATAGCAACATATAGTTGGATCTTGCTTTTTTATCCATTTAGCCACTTTATGTCTTTTCACTGGAGAATTTATTCAATTTATATTCAAGGTTATCATTGATAGGTAAGGATGTACTCCTGCCATTATATTAATCATTTTTTCATTGTTTTGTAGATCCCTTCTTCCTTTCTTCCTCTCTAGTTATTTACTTTTGTGGTTTTGTGGTTGTCTGTGGTACTCAGATTTGTTTCCATTGTTCTACTTCTTTGTGTATCTACCATAAATTCTTTTTTGTGGTTACCACGGGCCTAACATAAAGAGTCTTGCAGTTATAACAGACTATTTTAAGCTGATACTGCCTTAACTTTGGTCACATAAAAATACTTTAGACTTTTTTCTCCCCTCATACTATTTGTATTTTGGTTAATTTATATCTTTATATTTTGTGTGTTCCTTAAGCACTAACTGTAGCTATTGATGTATTGATGTTTTTGACCTTTGTAGCTTTAAACCTTCATTAGAGGTTTGAAGGATTTACATAGCACCATTACAACACTTAGGGTATTCTGAGTAGCACTTACCTATACTAGTGCATTTACTACTTTTCACATGCTTTCATGATATTAATTACTGTTTTTTGTTTTGCGTAGCCCTACTTTAAGTATTTCTTGTAAGGCCAGTCTATTGATGAGAGATACTCAGTTGTTACTTGTCTGGGAAGGTCTTTAGTTCTCTTTTATTCCTGACGTATGGATATAGTATTCTTTGCTCATGATTTTCTTCTTTCAGCACTTTGAATATATCATGCTATTCTCTGCTGGCTAGCAAGGTTTCTGCTGAGAACTCTGCTGACAATCTAATGAGGATTCTCTTATATGTGACTTCACATTCTTCTCTTTTAGATTCTGTCTCTGTCTTTGACTTAGACATTATGATTAAAATGTGCCTTAAAGAGGATTTTTTTATTGATTCTTACTAGGGACCTTTGAGCCTCCTGTATCTGAATGTCCATATCTCTCAAAAGACATGAGAAGATTCCACTATTATTTTGTTAAATAGGTCTTCTGTATCTCTCTCCATTTCTTCTTTTTCTGACACTCTATAGTGTAAATGTTTGATCACTTAATAGCGTCTCATAAGTTCTGTAGGCCTTCTTCATTCTTTTTTAATCATTCTTTTTTATCCTCTCACTATTTCAAAATCACGTCTTCAAGTTCAGGATTTCTTTCTTCTGTTTCGGCTAGTACATTGTTGACGGTCTCCATTGTATTTTTTATTCCATTCTTTGAAATAGTAAGCTCTCATATTTGTTTGGCTCTTTTTTATGATACCTCTTTGTTTGAATTTCTCATTCAGATCATGAATTGTTTTCCTGATTTTACTGACTTGTTTGTCCTTATCGTCTTGTTAGGATGTTTATAAATATCCTTTTCTTTAGGACCTGTTACTGGAAACTTATTGTATTCCTTTGGGAATGTCATGTTTCCTTGCTTTTTCAAGTTTCTTGTGACTCTACATATCTGCACATCGAGTGGAAGTGTTGCTTTTTTCCATTTTATGGAGTAGCTTTGGTAGCTTTTCCTGTAGATGGACCCTAGGGTGTCAACCGGAAACACTGTGTGGCTTCAGCTCTGGGTGGACTCAGTAGAACTGGTCTCTGTAACAGATTCTTCAGCTGTAATCCTCATCTGCAACACCTGTGATATCTCAGTGGCCCAGGCTGCATTTGTGGTGGGTTGGTTTTGCTGGGGCAGGGTTCCCTGTTGGCCAGGCACATGGGGGTGCAGTAGGCTAGAAGGTTGTGTGTCTGACTCTGGAATGGCAAGGCCACTGCCAGACTCACTATCAGGCCAGGGGTGATCATGAGCAGATCAGGCAGCTGTGTGTAACCCTCTCCAACGGAGTGGTGCTACTTCTGGTCCAGTTCTCAAGCCAAGAATGGGTGCACACAGGCCCAGCAGCTGCAAGGAGCCTCTCCACTGTGCATGCTTGCCTGTTTCCCTGGGTGACAGGATGCCTCATCTGTTCAGACATCAGAGTCCCAGTCATTCCTTTGGGCCTAGGTTCTAGACAGCTGGAGTATTGGTGCTGTAGGCACCTATGTGAATTTAGTGAAATGACTGTGGCACGTAAGCGGTAGAATGGTTTAGTGGCTACTGGCCTCAAAGCAGGACACACTCCAGATGTAGGTCCAGTTTCAAGATGATGCCATGCCATAGAAATGTATGTCTCATGAGCAAGGGTGTCAAGGAAATTTCTCTTCCGGGGAATGCACCTGTGTGTATTCCTGGCAATTGTCCAAATTGGACTCAAGGTCTGTGAGGATTGGAGGACCACCCTGTAGCAATAACTGCTGGCGTCTGCAACAGTGATAGGGACCACTAAAAGTCTCCAGCTTACCTTTTCCCCATAAGTAGAAGTATCCCCAGTTCTGATCTGCTCCTGGCAGGGGAAATAGTGTGGCAGAGGCAGGATGATTTGCTCCACACTCTTTGGAGGTATCCTGGCTTCCATGCTCCACAGGGGTTTTGCAATTCCCCTGGTGCTCTCCAGAACACTTACTCTGTCCACCCTGTTGAAATATAGTTGTTTATTCAATGTTTTGGTTCCTTTATATGGGGCAGGTGGAGGGGGATGAGAGCCAGGCCACTGTAGTCTGCTGTCTTGCTAATGTCACTGCCTAAAAATCTTTATCTTTAAAAATTAAGAGATATGCCTAGATATCCAGTTTTAAAATTTGTGATTCTATCTTAATTGAAAAGATATCTTTTCTTCTCTCATTTTGACTTAGTTTTCTATCATGACTGAAGAAATTCTGCAATAATAGTTATGTGAATTGCCTATTCATTTGATTACAAGTGAAGACAGGTTATGCAAAATCCAGTATAAAGGTATGAAGAAATCGAAATTCTCATTAACTGTTGTTAAGAGTATAAACTGATACTCTTTCCAGAGACTCATATGACAAAGTATAAAAATATACATACCCTTTGACTCAGCAACACCACTTTTAGGAACATAACTTAAGGAGACAAGTGCACAAGGATAAATACACAAAAAGTTAATTTAAATATCTTTTATAATAGTAATAAATTAGAAATAACCTAAATGTCCTTGATTAGGAAACAATGATAGTTAAGTAATTTATGAGATACACAGGCAATGTAATAAAGATGCAGCCATTAAAAATGAAACCTATGATTGATATAGAAATGGAAATATTTACAAGATATTGAATGAGAGAAAAACAGCTTCAAAATAAAGTAAAAGGGCAATATCATATAATGTTTAAGAGCACGTGATCTGGAATTATACAGTCCCAAGTTTTAATCCATAATCTTCCACTTAACGTTAGGTAAATCACTTAACTATCCCAGTGCTCAGTGCCCTCATCCATAAAATGGGGATAATGATGGTATCTACCTTGCAACATTGCTGTGTATATTAAATAAAACAATATAAGCATGTCAGATTTCTAAGTGTCTGTTATTCAATAAGTACTAATTTAAATTTTATCAATTGTTCAAAATGTTAGTTTTTAATGAGTAATGGGATCCAAAATAGTTATATAAATGTGCAAATAGATTTTTTTCAAGTATGTACAATTAAATATTATCTGAGTATGGGTATGGGGGCTGTTTCTTATTCTATTTATTTTGACATTTTTAAAAAGATAAATTTTTCCCCAAACCAAAGTTTTTTCTAACAGGTCAAGCTATAACAATATTAACCAGTTTATTTTGCCTTAAATTATAATTACCATGTGTCTACATTTCCCACCTAAATATGTGCTCCTTGAGGGCAAGGACTATGTAATTCATCAATATATTATAGACTTTTACTTTATCAGTGTCTTATACATCATAGAAATTCAATAAAAGTTTGCTGAATGAATGTGTGAACAAATGAATAAAGACTTCAATCTTATAATAACCTATAATAATATACAGAATATTACCAGAGTATATTATGAGGGGAAAAGTAAAAGATTTATTATTATAGTGGTAAAATTGTGAGCTTTAGAGTCAGTGAGATCTGGGTTCAAATCACAATTCTGACTCTTAATAGTGAATTGGCTTTGGGAAGTATGCATATATTGAGCAAGTATTGTATATTACAGTACTGGGTGTACAAAGAAGAACAAGATAAGGTCCATTCTCTGAAGGAGTTCAGAGTAAATTGAGAGAAATAGATACAAAAACAACCAATGACAATGCTGAGTAATAGAGTATACGTATTGTAGCTACAAAGTGGTGTGATCAGGAATCTGGTGGAAGCTTAGAAAAAATGGTGGTCAGTTATGCCTAGGGAGAATCAGCAATATTTGACTTAGATCTGAAAGAATGAAAGAGTTTAGAAAAATAATTTCTCTCCATCTTTGTTGTCCACAGGCTACCTTTCATCTGGTATCATGCAATGCTTCCTAACTAGTTCCTCCAATTCTAGTCTTAAAAATTCTTCCAATATCTTTTCTAGCAGTAGCCAGAAATAACTTCTCAAAATGTAAATAGGATATATCTCCATCCTCTGTAGAACACTCTAGTGATTTCCTTCTTAAGATAAAATCCAAAATAATCCAGAATCTTTAACACTGTTCAGAGGCCCTTATATGATGAGAGTCCTAAATACCACTCTGGCTTCATCTTAGTCTACTGTTCCCTTAGGGTATTACCTGCTAACCTCAAAATCAGCAGGTTCTCTCCATTTCAGAGCTTTTTTTATGTTTTTCCCTCTGCATGAACTACTCTTCATCACTGCTCTTCACATAACTAACTACCACTTTGCTTTCAAACTTCATTTTAAATGTCATTTCATCAAAGGAGGTCTTTTCTGACCTCCCTAATATATCCTGTTAGTGCTGATCCCACAACATCATACTTTTCATACATAGCACTTTTATCATGATTTTGTAACCACATATTTATATATTTGATTATGTGTTTAATGTCTGCCTCCCAAACATGACCATAAGTAACATGAAGCTCAGATCATGTCTTGCCCTCACTGTATTTGCAGCATTTAACACAAATACACTTAACACTGTATTTGGCACAGAATATGAGTTCACAAATAATAAATAACTGAAGAGGGAAAATAGCATTCTAGCACATGGAACAGTGCTTACTACAAAAGAGGTATTCAATAAATATTTATTAAATGAATTATTTGTTGAACAAGAAAGGACCATACGGTATGAAAAGTGTTTGAAAATAGCATGAGATTTAAAATGCTGGAGCTTAGAGATTGTAGGGTGAAAGCTGAGAAATAAGTCATAAAATGTAAGTTTCCTTTCCCAAGTATCACAAAATCAGGCACATAACAATTACTTCATAGAAACTGGTGAATTAATTGTATTAATCAGATTTGAAAATAATAATCATTTAGACCCATAAAAGTATTAAAATTTAGCTTTATAACACTGTTTAAATTCCTTGCAAACAGTACTTTTGTAGAAATGCAGCATTCATTTTTTTAAATCCCAGAATCAAAATTGATTCATGTTTTGTAATCATGTATAATTTAAGTAATAGTTTAAATTTAGCATATCAAAAGTATAGAAATCATTAAAATATATTTAGAATTTAATGCACAAACTTTTTACAGCACTTCTTTTGCTCAAGTCAGTATCATGTCAGTGGCATACAACTAAAAAATACAACTTAAAAATAAGAGAAGAGCAGTTTTTAATTATGTAGGACACATCTGAAAAGCCCAGCCTAGCACTCCAAAGTTTATGCATACCATCTTGAAGTCTTCTGTACCTAGTCAAAAACAAAACAAAACAAAAAACAGAAAATGGTCTTGCACTAGCTATTGGGTCATTTGCAATTCCCTGCTTTCATTACCCTATAAAGCTTTGATAAAAATCCTTTGTAGGGAAGAGGAAGGATTCCGGGAATGGTGGTATGTGGATATTAGTAGACACTCTCCCCAGTGAAACAGTAATTTAACTGGTAAAAAAATAAAATCAAAAGAAACCTTTTAAAGTATCTATAATTTCTCCTAAGGCATACAGCAAATGGAGAAACATTTAGTCACAAAGATCATTAAATCATGCTAAGAACAGCAAAAGCCTGTAGTATTTGACTCACAAGCTGCTCCCATTATCCCACACCACTGTCTCTCTCCCCAGCTCTCATCTAGTTTCACCCTGGCAGGGGAAGATCATCAGCATTTCTCATTTTCCCCAAAGCTTCATACTAAAGGAGTTCTAATCCAGGCAAGTACATCTGAGATAATTGGGCTCCCATCCTCCATCCATCCTCCACTCACAGCATGGAAGTTCTACTCAAGGCAGAGAATGCTGAGTGGGCTTGCATTACTCTTGCCCCAGCTACCTTATAGGGTGGAAGTTCTATGCCAACATGGGCAATCCAAGAAGACTAGGTGCTGCCATCTCCAACTACCACCCCACTCATAGAACAGAGGTGTCACACAGGCCACTCTCCTCACCCGCAGCCCTGATGCAGTAGCACACAGATTCTACCCAGGGAGAAAATCAGGCCATCAGAACAACAGCTGCAACTATGAGTAAGGCTGGCCCAGGATACCTGAGTCCCTGAAACTCCTTCCCAAAACTAATGTTATTTGGAAGAAAGCATGGAGAATTTCATCCCTAATAACATTATCAAAACAATGGCAAACTTGGTGGTGAGCAATAAAGAGGGAGTTAAGAGCTCCAGGGTACTAGAAGAAATACGTGGAATGCAAGACCAGGAAGTGTTTTATAAGAGTAAATCTAGCAAAGAGACAGGTAAAAGAGCCCTCCTGGATAAGGGAAAGCCTCAAAGATTGACAATGCCTTGCCTCTGCAATGGGGAGTTGGTCTTTAATTGGAATAAACAATTTATACCAAATACAACATGTTCTCATAAGTGGGAGCTAAACAATGGGTGCACATGAACATAAAAATGGAAACTGTACACACTGGGAACTCCAAAAGGGGGGAAGTTGGGAGGGAGGCAAGGGTTGAAAACTAACACGTATAATATTTACTATTTGGGTTATGGTTATACTATAAGCCCAATCTCCACCAGTATGCAATATATTCATGTAACAAACATGCACATGTATCCCCTGAATCTAAAATTAAATTAAATTTAAAAGATGCTGCCAGCATGGAAAAAAATTTATACTCAGAGCACTACCAAAACATACAACAATCAGATAGCAATTATTGGTGGCTAAGAACAGAAAATTATATCAATAGAAGCAGACCAGAGAAAGGGATAATAAGAAAGAGCTGAGCTGAAATCAAGGTGCTCAAAACAATTAATGCTATAAAATAGCACTCCTTATTCCTGGTGGTCAAGGAGACTATGTGCACACCTAAGTTGAAACAAGATTACAAAGTATTTGAAGAAATGCTAGCTGAAAACTTCCTAAATGTGATCCTAAATGTCAAAATGGTTAATGAATACCATGAGCAAACTGAAAGTAACAATCAAGGCTTTATTCACCTACTGCAACAGTGCAAGGAAGAAGGAAAATAAAATGGTGCCAGCTCTCCAGTGTTTTCCTACTGGAGAACACCAACGGTAAGGTGGTAACATGTAGTACAGGCAGGGGGATGTGTTTCATTGCTGAGGAGCCCTTAACAAAAGGTTCCTGCCTTTCTGTAGAGGAAAGGAGAGGCTGGGAGAGGAAGAGGGGAAAGAAATGGAAAAGCACTGAGTAAGAGTGGGAAAACCACCGCAGCTGAGGTCCCCCAATAAGGAGGTCTCTGGATGAAGGTGCCTGGGCTAAGAATTCACACATACACACGAGTATGGCTGGCATGGGAGATCTGAGTCCCTGAAACTCCTTCCCCAAAACGTAAATTAGCTGTGCATCAAGTCTGATGTAGGGAATGCAGTTTTCCCCATGAAGCTTGCCAGGAAAATCCTTATAATTGCCTGTAGTTGGGCCATAAAGGCTACACAGAGAATTTTGGCCTGGACCCTGACTCCTCACTAACTTCCAGAAGCTTAAGGAATGGCAAGTAAGATAAATGCAAAGACCTCCAAACTCAGACACACAATAGGCAAAACGTTGAAAGAAAAAGACAATGAGAAAATATCAAAAGCAGAAAAAAAAAATTCAACTCATCAAATACAAGGGAACTCAATATGATTGATAATTGACTTATCATCAGAAACAATGGAGGGCACTTTTGCCTCTTTCAAAAATCCAGGCAAAATAAAGACATTCCCAGATAAAAATGGAGTGAATTTGGTGCCAGAAGAACTTACTTACAAGGAATACTAAAGGAAGTTATTTAACTTCCTTTAACAAGTTACACCAGACAATAATCTGAATCCACATGAAAAAACAAACAGCACTAACAGAGGTAATTATAAAAGACATAACAATAGTATATCTATACTCATTTCTTCTGTTAAATGATTTTTAAAGCAATTTTTAAAAACGTGTAATTGTACTGTCATGCTTATAATACATACAAAGGTAATATAATTGATAATAAGAGCCCAAAAGAGGTGGGCAAGAACAAAGCTGTACTGGAAAAGAAAATGATGTTTGATGATAACTCAAATCCACAAAAATAATTAAAAGAACTAGAAATAATAAATAAGATTCATATAATAAACTCTATAAATATATACTTTATTTACTTTCTCTTCTCAGCTTCTTTAAAATACATAGAATTACATAAAATAATAATTACAAAAATGAATTGTTGGGTTTGTAATGCCTGTGAGATATACTATGATTTTAAAATAGCACAAAAGGGGGAAGAAAGGGGGAGCTCTACAGGTATAAATTTTCAATATCATTGGAATTAGGTTAGTATAAATATGAACTAAATTCTGATAAGTAAACATGGACATTGTAAGTGTAAGAGCAACCACTAAGAAAATAACCAGAAAAAAAGTCATTTAAAAAATTAAAATATTACACTGGGAAATATTCACTTAATTCAATTGATGGCAATGAAGGAGGAACAGTGACTAAAGAGGCATAAAGAAAACAAAAAGTGAAATGAAAGACATAAATTCCTATCAATAATAACATTAAATATGAATGGATTAAATAATCCAATCAAAAGGCAGACATTATAACTCCGGGGAAAAACAACAACATCCAACTAACTATATTCTCTCTACAGGAAACATCTCCCTTCAGATTCAAAGATACAAATTGATGATAAGTAAATAGGTGGAAAAAGGTATACCACACAAAAAGAAGGCTGGAGTTGCTATACTAATATCAGACAAAATATATAATTCAAAATGTTATAAGAGGCCAAGAGTGATGGCGCACACCTAAAATCCCAGCACTCTGAGGGGCCAAAGCGGGAGGACTGATTGAGGCCAGAAGTTTGAGACCAGCCTGGGCAACTCAGCAAGATCCTATCTCTACAAAAATAAAAACAAAAACTTAGCCAGGTGTAGTGGTGTACACCTATAATCCTAGCTATTCAGGAGGCTGAGGCGGAAGGATTGCTTGAGCCTAGGAGCTTGAGGTTGCAGTAAGCTATGATCATACCACTGTACTCTCCAGCCTGAGCAACAGAGCAAGACCCTGTCTCTTAAAAAAACAATATTATTAGAGATAAAGAGGGAAAATATACCAATTATATATAATATATGCACATATACACCCCTTACAAGAGAACTCCAAAATATATGAAGCAAAACATGACAGAATTAAAAAGGAGAAAGGGACAATTCAACAATCATATTTAGGGACTGCAATACGCCATTTTCAATGAGGGGTAGGAAAATTGAAAAGAACAAGGACAGAGAAAACATAACACTATAAAGCAAGTAGACCTAAAAGGCATTTCTAGCATACTCCACCCAACAGCAGCAGAGTATACAATTTCACGAAGTACACACAGAACATTCTCTAGGTTAAGGCACATTTTAGGTCATAATATAAAAGTATCAATAAATTTTTGAAGTTTGACATCCTCTGAAATATACTTTCTAGACACAATGAAACTAAATTACAAGTTAACACACAGGAGAATTTTAGGAATGTATAAATATGTGAAAACTAAACAATACATTCCTAAATAATTAATGGGTCAAAAAAGAGATTACAAGGGAAATTAGAAAATACTTTGATTTCAACGAACATGTAGGGTACAGCTAAAGCAGTGCTTAGAGAGAAATTTATAACTTTAAGCTCTTATATTTTTAAATAAGAATATCTCAAAATCAATGACATAAGCATCACCTTATGAAACTAGAAAAAGTAGAGCAAACTAATCTAAAGCAAGCAGAAGAAAGAAAATAATGAAGATTGGAGTATAAATGAATGAAGCAGAGGCTAGAAAAACAAGAAAGAAAGTCAATAAAACCAAAAGTTAGTTCATTGAAAAGATCAACAAAAACCAAAAACTTTAGCTAGAATGACCAAGAAAGAACAAAGACACAAACTATTAAAATTAAGAATAAAAAGATGAGGCATCACTAACAACCTTAAATAAAAAGAATTATAAGATCATACTATGAACAACTGTCTGCCAAAATATTAAATAACTGAGATAAAATAAAGAAGTTTCTAGCAATACACAAACTATCAAAACAGACTCAAGAAGGAGTATAAAATATGAATGCATCTATAGATGATAAAAAGATTAAGATTGTCTGAACATTTCTGTCCCTCCCAAAATTCAGGTTAAAATCCGAATCCTCCATGTGATGTACTAGGAGGTAGCATCTTTAAGAAGTAAGTAGAAGTTCTCATGAGTGAGATTAGTGTCTGCTATGGTTTAAATGTGTTCCCCCAAAAAGCACGTGTTGGAAACTTAATAGCCAATGCACAGTGTTGGTAAGTGGGGTCTAATGAGAGGTAATTAGGCCAAGAGTGTGAAGTGAATGGGTTAATGTCATTATCATGGGTGTGGGTGCATTACTGCAGAAGCAGTTCCTTATGAAAGGACAAGTTCAGTTCTTTTTTGTCTCCTTGTTCTTTTCTCTTGCACTCTCTTTGCCCTTCTGCCATGAGATGATGCAGCAAGAAGTCCCTTGCCAGATGCTCGCCCCTCAATCTTGGACTTTCCAGCTTCCAGAGCCATAAACCAATAAATTTCTGTTTATTGCAAATTATTCAGTCAGTGATATTCTGTTATATAATAGCAGCACAAAACAGACTAAGACAGTGCCCTTATATAAGAGGCCCCAGAAACCTGTTTTTTTTTTTTCCATAATGTCAGTACATAGCAAGAAGGCACCACATATGGGCCCTTGCCAGACACTGAATTTGCTCATGCCTGGTCTTGTACTCCTCAACCTTCAAAACTATGAGAAATAAGTATGTGATGTTTATGAGCAACCCAGTCTATGGTATTTTATTATAGCAGCCTGAACTGGTTAAGATAAAGAATGAATTAGTATTTTCAAACTTCTCATAAAAATATCACCAGAAAAGAAAACTAAAGATCAATATCTTTTATCAATCATTAACAAAACACTAGCAAACAAAATCTAGCAAAATATAAAAAGGATTGATATCATTACCAAATTGAATTTATTCCAGGCATGCAAGGTTGTTTGAAAATAAATTAATATACCACAGTAATAGGGTAAAGGACAAAAAAAATCAAATGGTCATTGCAATAGATGCATAAAAAGTATCCGTCAAAATCAAACCCCCTCAACAAACTAGGAATGTAAAGGTACTCTCTCAACCTGATAAAGAGCTTCTACTAAAAAGCCCACAACTAATATCATACTTAATAGTGAAAGACGGCTACTTTTCCCTTAATATCACAAACAAGATAAGGATGTCAGTTCTTACCACTTGAATTCAACATTGTACTGAAGGTTCTAACCAGGGCAAATAGGCAAGAATAAAGAAATAAAAGGCATTCACAGTAGAAAGGAGAAAATGAAATGATCTCTATTTGCAAATAACATGATACTATATATAGAAAATCCTAAAGAATCCAATAAAAAAAGTATTTGAGCTAAAAAATGGATTCAGCAAAGTTGTAGGATATATCAACACACCAAAAAAATTTATTGTATTTCTATACACTAGAATGAATAATTTAAAATTGAAAATAAGAAAACAATTACATTGGCAAGAGCATCACAAATACTTAGGAATAAATTTAACAAAATAAATGTAAGGGTTTGTACACTGAAAACTACAAAATATTGTGAAAAGTAAACAAAGAAAATGTAAATAAATGTAAAGATATCTCATGGTCATAGATCAAAAGTCTTAATATTAAGATGGCAGTACTCCTGAGATTGATCAATCCCAAACACAATTACAGCTGCTATTCTTGCAGAAATTGGCAATTTTGTTCAAAACTTTATATAGAAATGCAAGGGACTCAGAACAGTCAGAATAACCTTGCAAAAGAAGAACAAAGTTGCATGTTGCACCCTTCCCTATTTCAAAACTTGTTTCAAAGCTACAGTAATCAATACAATATGGTACTGACATAAGAATAGACATCTATATCAATGGAATAGAACTGAGAGTCCAGAAATAAATCCTTACATTTATGGTCAATTGATTTTTGACACAGGTGCCAAGACCATTTGATAGAGAAAACAAGTCTCTTCAATGAACTATACTGAAAAACTGGATATCTACTCACAAAATTATGCAGTTGGAACCCTTCCTCAAACCACAAATGATGGAGTTAGACCCCTTTCTCAAACCACACACTAAAATGAACTCAAAACAGATCAAACATCTAAATGTAAGAGCTAAAACTAATAAGAAAACATAGGTGCAAGTCTTCATGATCTCGGATCAGGCAATAATTTTTCAATGTCACACCAATAGCACAAGTAACAAAATTTAAAAACGATAAATTTGACTTCATCCAAATTCTGTGCAACAAGTGATACTATGAAGAAAATGAAAACACAAGCCACAGAATAGGAAAATAATTTTAAAGACTTATATCCAGCACATATAAAGAACTCTTACAGTTAATAATAAAAAGATAAATGACCCAATAAAAAATAAAAAATATATACAAATGGAAAACAAATACATTAAAAGATATTCAACACAATTAGTGATTAATGAAATGCAAATCAAAACCACAATGAGATACTTCTTCACACCCAATAGGATAACCACAAATCCTTGCTCTGCCAAGCAAATAATAGCATTATAACCTCAGTTTACTTACTCATAAAACAAAGATAATTAAACCTAACATGCAGAGTAATTTATAGGTTTTGAAAAATATCTGTAAAGTATTCATCTGAAAGCAAAGTGGCAACTTAATAAACCAAAGCATTTATATTTTTTACTTTTTATAGGTGACTCTAAAAGACTAGAATTTATAGAAGTAGATAGTAGAATGGTGGCTACCAGTAGCTGGGGATGAGTGGGAAGGTGAGAGATAGACAGAACCTGACCAAAGAGTACAAAGCTTCTATCTGACCAAAGAGAAATAAGTTTCAATATCTATCCCACAGCAAGGTGACATTAGAAATGATAATGTATGTTACAAAATTACTAAAAGAATGTATGTTAAAATGTTCTCTCTACAAAAAAATGACAAATATGTGAGGTGATGGATATGTTAATTAGTTTGACATAATCATTCCACAATGTATATACATATATCTAAGTGTTTTACCCCATAAGTATATATTACTATTTGACAATTACAAATAAAAATTTTAATTTAGAAATTTTTTAAATCATTTATTACTATTGTTACAATTAGAAATTTGCTGAATACCACTAATACCACTCCACAACTATGGTATTAATATCCTATTTCAGGGTGGCAATGATAACAATGATGTTCTGAAAACATATACAATGGGATTTTTAATCTTATTGCAAATTCTGTGGCCCAAATTGAATTTCAACTAACAACTGTTGAAAACTATTTCCAATGGTTTTCCTTTTAATCCCATATGCCACCTACTCACAAAATTTAGCCCTCTCTGTATCTTCCCAATAGGAAGAACAACAACAACCTAGGCTAGAAAAAAGTGTTACAAAAATGAGCGTTGTCATTACATACCTCTCAGAATCACCAAAAATCAATATGCACAATTTCAGAGTACATGAGAAATCCCAGGAAAAAAAAAATATATATATATATATATATATATTTCCTGAGGCTAGACCCACCTACGTTATGGGAAAAGGTATCAGGAAGAAAAAAGGACTGTCTTCTCATTAGCGTCAGTGACATTGTCAAATATGAAAGCAGAACATTACCTAAACCGTTATCCATCCCATTGATGCTTTTACAAAATATTCCAGAAAACAAAGGGAAATGTTTTCTGGATTACAAGAATAGCAAAATACAAATAAATACATGAAAAAATAAATACCCCAAATTCCATGATGCAGAGAGAATCCTCGCTACCATCTGAAGCTAACCTTTTCATATCTTTTTCTACAAATACTCATATTTTACATGGCTGAGATCAAACTATGTATATAGTGTCACAGCATTTTTCTACTTAACATTTTATCTTACGGTTATGAGCTATCTATTGCTGCATAATACAATTATCTCACAATTTAGCACCTTAAAGTAAGAAATATTTATTATCCCACAGTTTCTATGGGTCTCTGGGACAAACACTTTTCTACCTTGAATTTCTGCTGAGTAACAATATCTCTGAGCTTCTTAACAAGCTTCCATTGTTTCATTGAGAACACTTATTTTAAAGGTTAAGTATACCTTTAAAATATTTAGATGATTTTTATTCAACTTAGTACTCTGAAGCACCACCTTTCATCTTTCTGAGGTCTCAACCAGGGATTTTACAATCACATCCTCAGTTTCATCTCCAGACAAAGTTTTTCTAGAGTGCCCTGAATTGTATCTTTACCTAAGATGATAAATTTTAGAAACATTTGTCATCTATAAATACTGGACATTTTTTAAACCATAAAGCCCTGGATCCTTTATATTTAACAGTGCTTGCTTTAGTTTATCTCCCTTTTCTCAAATTTTACTATAGGTATCAAGAAAAAAAACAGGCAGTGTTTCCAACATTCTGCTTAGAAATTTCCTCAGCTACATCACTCAGTTCACTCAGTGCACTTTCTACTTTCTACATTACTGCAGTGGCAGTGTTGGTAAATTTTCCATCACTACATAACAAGAACCCTCTTTCATCAAGTTTCCAACAAGGTTTTTCTCATTTTCCTTTATGCCTTCACCTAAAGCCTTCTCAAAGGTAGTTTTGTTTCTATAGTTCCTTCAATACTGTACAAGATTCCACTGACACGCTCCCTAAGTCCCCCCTGTAACAGTGAAACAGGGGATGAAGCCCAGCCTGCATATAGCGACATTTTAAACATTTCGCTAACACCCTTGGAAACCAGCTGAGAAAAGAGAAGGGCGGACATATCACGTGATAAACTACAACTCAATCTAGACGCACCCTAACAAAGATTGGCCGGGCGCAGTGGCTCACGCCTATAATCCCAGCACTTTGGGAGGCGGAGGCAGGTGGATCACGAGGTCAGGAAATCAAGACCATCCTGGCTAACACGGTAAAACCCCGTCTCCACTAAAAATACAGAAAAATTAGCCGGGCGTGGTGGCGGACGCCTGTAGTCCCAGCTACTAGGGAGGCTGAGGCAGGAGAATGGCGTGAACCTGGGAGGCGGAGCTTGCAGCGAGCCGAGATCAAGCCACTGCACTCCAGCCTGGGCGACAGAGCGAGACTCTGTCTCAAAAAAAAAAAAAAAAAATTGAAACCAACCCCAGACAAAAACGTGAGGAAAGACAGAGTTTGTAGGTTGAGTACTATGTCGGGAGTTTCCAAGATCACTCTCAGGTTTGATAGGTCACTAGAAAGACTCAGAGGACTCAGAATAAGTTATGCTCAATTACAGTTTGTTACAGTGAAAGGACACAAAGCAAAGTCAGCAAAGGGGAAAACCACACGGGGTGAAGTCTGGAGAAAACCAGGCAGGAGCTTCTAAAAGCACTTTCCCAGTGAAGTCACACAGGACACACCTAATTCCTCCAACAATGAACTGTGACAACACATGAGAATTGTTGCCTACCAGCTCGCCTGCACATAGAAACCCAGGGGCCTTTTTTGCGGGGAAGGGGGTGTCAGTCACTGAACTTCCAAACCCCCAGAAAAAAAAAAGCAGATGTCCACCATAAATTATATTTTTTACATAAACTATCTAAACAAGCAAGTACAATATTTCCAAAAACCAAGCATGCAGAACATTCCTATCAGGACATTCAAGGAGCCAGGCAAAGGCCGGTCACACAAAAAGGATCTTCTTGAGAATATGCAAAGTTCTAAGAGCATTCTGGGAGCTAGGCAAAGGTCAGTCACACACAAAGGACTTTTCTTGGGGATATGCAAACTTTGAGAAACTCATAAATGCTGAGTTAATTCTTTTCTGCACAAGCCCCAAGTTACAGACACTTGGAAAACCGCTTAGACATTCCACAGATCTGCCTTTACAAAGCACATAACTAAGTCTATATAATGTCAAGGTGATCAGCCAAAAACTGAACTGCACACTAGAACAAAAACAGAGGATAAAAAAAGAACCAAGAATTTCTACAAAAAACATCTACAATGTCCAATTTATAACAAAATATTTCTAGATATACAAAGAAAAATGAAAAGAAAAAAACTCCATCAATACAGATGGACACCGAGATGGCCCAGATTTGGGCTTTTGGAAACAAAGAGCATATTATAAATATCTTCAAATAACTAAAAAAATTTCAAAGAATAAAAGAATGAACAAATAGAGAATCTTATACAGAAAACTCAAATCTATAAAAAGAAACAAATGGAAATTATAGACCTAAAACTTACAATGATGGAAATTTAAAAATTCATGAAATGGGCTGAAAAACAGATTAGAAACATCAGAATAAAAAGAAACTATTACAAAATATCTGCTCTGAATAACACAGAGAAATTAAGTTGAAGAAAAGTTAACAAAGCTTCGTGGACGCATGGGAAAATAACAAGCATGTAATAAGAGTTCCAAACAAAAAAGAGACAATGTGGTAAAAAGAATATTTTACGAAATAATGCCTGATTGCCCTAGCCAGAACTTCCAATAATATGTTGAATAAGAGTGGTGAGAGAGGGCATCCTTGTCTTGTGCTGGTTTTCAAAGAGAATGCTTCCGGCATTTGCCCATTCAGTATGATATTGGCTGTGGGTCTGTCATAAATAGCCCTTATTATTTTGAGATACATTCCATCAATACCTAGTTTATTGAGAGTTTTGAGCATGAAGCGGTGTTGAATTTTATCAAAGGCCTTTTCTGCATCTATTGAGATACTCTGTGGTTTTTGTCATTGGTTCTGTTTATGTGATGGATTACATTTATTGATTTGAGTATGTTGAACCAGCCTTGCATCCCAGGGATGAAGCTGACTTGATCGTGCTGGATAAGCTTTTTAATGTGCTGCTGGATTCGATGTGCCAGTATTTTATTGAGGATTTTTGCATCAATGTTCATCAGGGATATTGGACTGAAGTTTTCTTTTTTTGTTGTGTCTCTGCCAGGTTATGGTATAAAAATGATGCTGGAAACAAATGAAGTGTATTCAAATAGGAAGAGAGGAAGTCAAATTGTCTCTGTTTGCAGATGACATGATTGTATGTTTAGAAAACCCCATCATCTCAGCCCAAAAAGTCCTTAAGCTGATAAGCAACTTCAGCAAAGTCTCAAGATACAAAATTGATGTGCAAAAATCACAAGCATTCCTATACACCAATAATAGATAAACAGAGAGCCAATTCATGAGTGAACTCCCATTCATGATTGCTACAAAGATAATAAAATACCTAGGAATACAACTTACAAGGGATGTGAAGGACCTCTTCAAGGAGAACTACAAACCACTGCTCAAGGAAATAAGAGAGGACACAAATGAGAAAACATTCCACGCTCATGGATAGGAACAATCAGTATCATGAAAATGGCCATACAGAACAAAGTAATTTATAGATTCAATGCTATCCTCTTCAGGCTACCATTGACTTTCTTCACAGAATTAGAAAATACTACTTTACATGTCATAAGGAACCAAAAAAGAGCCCGTATAGCCAAGACAATCCTAAGCAAAAAGAACAAAGCTGGAGGCATCATGCTACCTGACTTCAAACTATACTACAAGGCTACAGTAACCAAACAGCATGGTACTGGTACCAAAAACAGATATATAGACCAATGGAACAGAAGAGAGGCTTGAGAAATAACGCCACACATCTACAACCATCTGATCTTTGACAAACCTGACAAAAAAAGCAATGGGGAAAGGATTCCCTATTTAAGGCCAGGCACGGTGGCTCACGCCTGTAATCCCAGCACTTTGGGAGGCCAAGGCGGGTGGATCACAAGGTCAAGAGTTCAAGACCAGCCTGCCCTCACCCCCTACTAAAAATACAAAAATTAGCCAGGAGTGATGGTGCGAGCCTGTAGTGTCAACTACTCGGGAGGCTGAGGCAGAAGAATCGCTTGAACCCAGGAGGTGGAGGTTGCAGTGAGCTGAGATCGCATGACTGCATTCCAGCCTGGGTGACAGAGTGAGATTCTATCTCAAAAAAAAAAAAAAAAAAAGAAGCTCAGTAAACCCCAAGCAAGGCAAGATAAATACCAAAAACAAGTTCAATCTATGCAGATCATACTTGAAGTACTTAAAACCAAAGATAAAGGTAAAAATCTTAAAAGCACAGGGAAAACAGATATACTGCCTGCAAAGGGGATGAGTGATAATAAATAACAGTTGAATTAAAAAAATTATCAATTGAGTTTATACAGCAATTGAATAATGCTAGTAGTGTTAAAAGAAAAATTAAACAAAAAATCATTTCAATCCAGAATTCTATATCAAGTGAAAATATCCTTTAAAACAAGAGTGAAATGAAGACAATTTTATATAAGCAAAAACAGAGGGGATTCAGTGCCAGAAGATGCATATCTGCACAATAAGAAATGTGTAAGATGTTTTCCAGGTTGATAGAAACTCAAATCTAAAGGAAAGCCAGGTGAAAACCTGTATCTACAAGAAAGAGTAACAACAGAAATGGCAGATAATCGACTATATTTTAAAGATGTTTTTAATGTGTAATTGTCTTAATAGCCAATTGACTGATAGAAGCTAAAATATTGACATTGTAGTGAGCTTTATAATGTACAAAATATAAAACATATAATAACAATATCCAAAGAATGGGGCAGGACAGGAAAATGGAATTAGACTGTTATAAGGTTTTTACAGTTTTGAAGTATGAAATGGGAAGTGTGAAGTATGAAGTATCAAGTGTGAAATAGGAAGTAGAAAGTGTGATATAAGAAGTGTGAAATGTAAAGTGATATAATATTGGCTCTAGACTTTCATAAGTGAAGCATGCATATTGTTAGCCCTAGAGCAACTGCGATAAATGAATGAATGAATGTATGGATAGATTAGTATATTAATATAAATAGAGGTATAGCTAAGAAGCCAATATAGAAAATAAAATGGAATACTAAATATATGCATATCCATGTCTACATGGATATATGTATGTTATATACATATATATGTTAGACACCTACTGTAAAATTTTCTGCCTTAGTGTAGTTCAATTCTAATAGCCCATTACAATTTCTACCAAAATTTCCACCTTCCATATAGTATTGTCTTCCCCAAAATCAGGTCATTTCAGTTTCCTGCCTATATCTCTTCAATGGTTTCCCAATACACATCAAATGAACCACAAACCCTTTACTATGGTCTATGAGACACTACATAATCTAATCCTTGTCTATCTTTATAGTTTCATCTTTTGCCACTCCCTCACCTAATGAACCTCTTTTCAGTTCCTAAAACAAACATATCCTACATCAAGACCATTCTCTGTGCTGTCTCCATCCCTGCCTTCTCACAGATCCCTACTATCTTTTAGGTCTCAGTTTAAAGCTTATCTCATGATAGAAGACTCTCTTAACTAACCTAAAAGTTTCTTTGATATCTTTATTACTAAATTCTTTCCCTCTTTCATAACATTTCTCACAACATGAAATTATATGTGTGTTCATTAATTTCATATTGCATTTCTGCCACCAGATATTAGCTCTTTAAGGGTAGGAACCACATTTTTTTCACTTATGTACACCCTACGCCTAGCATTATGTCTGAAATATAGAATGTACTCAATAAATTTGTATTAAATAAATGACATATGTAAATACCTACAACATAAAATTACCCCAGTAAATTTTCTATTTATAAAATTACTACAAGAAATGCTGACAAAATTTGCATGCCCAGCAGCATCACGGACATATTCTCCTGGGTAACTTTCATCACTTGTCTTCCTTTTTATAATATGGTGGTATTACATCACAAAGTAACAAGAGTATAGTTTGAGAGAATTCCCACTAGCTTCGGGGGAGCCATGTTTATGGATCAGCAACTTATAGATTTATTAGAATTTTAAAACTTCTCATTTTATATTTATTATAAAAAGGAACCAATTTAGCATAGCTTCCTGATAGAGAATATATTAAAAAAACAGCAGCTACACAAGATTAACAGTCCACAACTCTTGGTAACTGGAGAAATAAAGATGTACTCACTTAAACCAGGAGCAAATTATAGATTATATTATAAACCAGAGCAGAAGTATATATAAACTTTGAAGTGTAGTCAAATGGCATTTTGTGGAGATGAAAAGTAACAGAATGATTATGGTCTCCTAAATATTATAAATCATTTTGTGATTATGGAAATAAACAGAAAACTACTGAAAGCCAGAAGATAGCTGGGTGCTTTACACAGGTCCAGTGGCAAACAATGTATTTGCCTTTATGTATTTTTTGGTAAATAAATCAAGTCCTTTCTTTCTTACCTCAGGTTTTTATTATATTTCTTATGAACTGTTAAAATGCTCTTGTCACTGGTCTCCAAGATGCAACCCTTACTCAATCACACATACCCATCCAACCTCCAAACTGTCTCAAGGGCAATGGTTCTGGCAAAAAGGTAAGAGGAATATAGTAGAAATTCAGTAGGTATAGGCGTAAAACAGACTTAAGCTTTAAGTCAAGTAATAGGATATGAAGATTTGTTAGACTCATAAATGTGGGTAAATCTTTCTAGACTCAAATTTCTTATTTGTTTAATGAGAATAATAATATGCATTTCATATGGTTAGACTAAGGAGAAATTATTAGTGCATACATAAAAGCTTTTAATGAAAACACAAAATCATTATTTGTTGCATAAATGACTACCACCTAACCAAACAATGGAAGTCCATTACTCTCTATCCTCTTATTTTTATTCAAAGCACTCTTCATCACCTGATATTTAAATATTTTTATGGACTATCTCCCACACAAAAATATCAGATCTATGAGAACAAGAACTTTGTCAGTTTTTGGTGATAGTTGTAGTCCCAGACCTCCAAACAGTATCTGACATATATCTGGTACTCAAATTTCTGTTTCTAATTTCTTTGGATAATTCTTATCAACTACAAAATTAAGTTTAAACAGAATAGCATAGTGGGTGCTCTATCCGTTGATACTAAACGGATTTCTAGCTTCTCTGACCATGTTCCTCCATGTCTCCCAGTCTTTGAGCACACCAGGGTACTCACTTGCTTCCTTAAACACAAAATAATCTGTTGGAGTAGAATAATAATAATAGAACTGAAGAAAAGCATACAGACTGCTGCTCTGAAGGTAAATTTAGATGGAGTGAATACCACAGGTGAGTTAAAGGAAGAACTGGTTGACATCCATATTTCTGGCTTGAGCATCTGCGTAAATAGTAGGTCTCAACATAATGATGGGGAATGGGTTCAAAGGAAAAAATCTAGAATTCTACTTTGGATCTCATTTTTTTTAATGTCTATGATAACACAAGTGAAGATGTTAAGCAGACAGCTGAACATGCAAATCTGAAGTTAAGAGGTCTAGGTAAGAAATTTAAATTTAGGAATAGTAAATTAAAAGGATGATAAAACAGAGAAAAGAGACTAGAACTGTGATCTGAGGAAATCTAACTCTTAGGATTTTATTAGAAGAGGATCCAATAAAAGAGATCAATAGGGGGTAGCATGTATGACTGAAGGAAAATCAGAAGTGTGAGTTATTGAAGAATCCAAAAAAGAAGACTGATTCAAGAAAGAGAGAAGTCTATGTTGAAAGCTACTGAAATCAATTATCGTGAGGATAGAAATGTGCTTTAAATTTAGCCACATGATGATCACTGATGACTTTGAAAAGAACATTTTCAGGAAAGTAGTGAGTAAAAGTGGAAAACAGCTTGGCAAAATTGAAGAATAAGTGAGAATCAAAAGAGTGAAAACAACATGACTGTGTTTGTCATATTTTGCTCCTTCAGAACACAGGCACTCTGCAAGTTGAAGAGACGGATTCTCACCACTAAAATAAAAAATATTGTCATTTTTTTTGCCGATACATAGAAAAAGCAATTTAATGTACAGAATACTCTCACTTATAAGTTCTCCCCATAACAAAAAATTGAAAACGGATTTAAGTTAAATTACCCAAGATCTTCTCACAAAGAAGACAAGATAATTAATTTTGTATAAGATATGTACTTCAATTTACCTATGCAATTCATTTAAAATCAGATATGATTATCTTCATTTTAGGTGAGTAAATGATTTTCAGAGAGGCAGTAACTTGTCCAAAGTTACACAACAGTTGGTTTTAAAGAGAACCTAGGATTCCAATCATGTCTAAGAAAGTGCTAACACTTCTACTGAACAAAACTATAAATTAACTGCCACAAGTATTGAGAAATATTTGATAGAATTTTTACACATCTCTGTTATAATACATTGGATTTCAATTATTTACTTACAAATTTTTCTCTCCCCAACGCCAGTAAAAGTTTTGATGATAAAAGATTTTCTTCTTTATGTTTATAGACTCATGTTCCTAGCATAATGCATGACTCATAATAGGAATTCATTAAATAATTGGTTAAATGAATGTTGAATGAAAGAATATTTATAAGAACTTCAATTCAGGATATTTTCAAATGTCCCAGGAGCATAAGTATTAATTCACTCATGGCTATTTCGTTTTGAGGTCTAGAAATTGGTGATGAGAATTCAATATAATTTACGAAATATCTGCTGGACAATTGTTTGTGTTAGGCATAGCACTAGATGTTGAAAAGTAAAGGAAATGAATTGGAAAATAATCAGACAAAATCTCTGCCCTTGAGGTCTTCATATAAAGATAGCAATACGAAGATAGGGAAATAAAAAAGGGAAAATATGATAAATTCATTGAGAAGAAGAAGAAAGTCACTGGGCTAAAGAAAAACTGAAATGATATTTTAAATGAAGAGAAAATATTAGGTATAGTCATATAAACTGGCCTAAACATAAGCATTCAGCTGATATTTAAAAAAAAAATAGAAGTACCATTCTAAAGTATATGAGGACTTTCATTTAAGTCTTTTATAAAAAGGAAGACATTAACAAATGGCAAGACATACTATGTACCCAGATAAAACTATCACAAATTTGCCACTGCTTTACAAATTAATATATAGTTTCATATAACTCCCATCAGGAACTAAGTAAAGGTATCTCAATGATTTTTTTAATAAATTCACTGAAATATGTATCTAGCAAGCTGAATAAATGAGAAGGATGTAAAATTTCTGGAAAGGGAGGAAAAATCACTGGTGTCCTGTGTATTCCTGAGACACATCTGTAGAATTGTTACTGAAGTATTCCAGAGTTATGGCCCAGGAGTATGCATTTTCATAAGCACCCAAGATGATTCTAATTAGAAGATCTAAGGGCAAAATGTTATAAACCACAGACCGTGTGTGTGTGTGTATGTGTGTGTGTGCATCCATGTGTGTCAGTAAGATATAATAAAGGGAACATCCCAAATCAGTAGTAAAGAGATAAATTTTTCAATAAATAATTGATAAAAACAGCTATTCAGAAAAATTTAAGTTAGTACTTCAGTTTACAACATATACCAACATAATTTTGATGAGGATTACAGAATTAAATATATGGAATAAAACCATAAAAAGACTAGAAGAAAACTTGAGTAAATATTTTTCTGATTTGGAAGGATTAAACATAAAAGCAGTGAGAGAAAAGATACAATGAATAATCAATATAATTGACTACATAAAATGTAAATTATCTTATGTGAAAATCATGATCATAAAATTAAAATATATCAAGCTAAGAAAATACTGGCCACAATGATAACTAAGACTTAATATTCTTACACCATAAAGAGCTCAAATATACCACCAGAAAAACATTAAAACTCTAATAGAAAAACTGGGCAAAAGATATGAACAGGTAATTCAGAAGCAGAATAACAAATATTAACAAATACATTAAAATAAGTTTAACTTTAACAATGGTATATAGATGAGTAAGTAATGATTTTCCTACAGTGTTTGTAGAAACTTAAATTGGTACAATCATTCTGTAAAGTAATTATCAGCAGAGTTTAAGGGCTTAACAAAAAGATTCAGATCCTTTGAAATCATAATTACACTTCTAAGTTCAGTATCCTCCAAAAATGAGGAGAAATGAAGACAAAAAAATGTATGAAGATACCAAATGCAACATTATTAAAAATAGTAACACTAGTGATTAAATGCTCAACAATAGGGAAATCACTAAATAATTCCAACCGCTTAATAATATTCTGTTACAAAGACTATTAAATTTATAATTTAAATTTAAATTTAAAATTTAATTTAAATTTAAAATTATCTTTTTAAAATATTAGAAGACTTAAAAATTCGTTCATGTATAATAAAGTGAAAAGCACAAAAAAAATTACACTCTATAAGTAATCTCAACCATTCAGAAAAGAACTATGTTTCTGCTTTTTTCTATAAATTAAAAATAAATATGCAGGTTATTAGAATTTATTTCTAGGTGGTAGAATTATGATTTCTAAATTACAGATTATTTTAATTTGCTTCATTATGCCTTTTCTATCTTTTACACATTTCTAATAATGAGTACATATTATTATTTCAATATTTAAAAGTGACTTTTCAATGGGTATAACTTTCCAGTTATGCAAGATGAGTAAGTTCTAGAGATCTGCTATACAACTATACAACAGTTTTCCTATAGTTAACGAATTGCAGTGTACATTGAAAATTTGTTAAAAGACTAGATCTCACATGAAGCATTCTTGCTATAATAAAATATCTAAATATTTACCTTAGCATTGTGTTATCCTTATAAGAAATAGGAGGATTATATTGTTCTTTCTAAAATTAGAATGTACTACATAGTCTAAATCTGCCATTTAATCTCCAGCAAATTTTTTATCAACTTTCTATTCATAAAATAACGATATTAGTAAATCCTGCCAATTTCACAAAAATATTTTAAGAATTAATTAAATTTCAATATTCTGAGCTTTGGGAAAGAAATTCCTGAATTAGCTTTCCATTAAAGTTGCACAAATCAGTGATGAAATTGTGATGCCTTGGCATTCAGTTTGTTCTCTTCTGATATTAAAGTTTCTGAACCTCAAAATATAAATGTTTATAGAAGACAAGATTGTTACTGTGCCTAGGATAAATAGGTACATTAGTTATCTTATGAGTCACTATCAGGAGGTAAAATGGTAAGTCTATATTTAATTTTTTGTTTTAGAGACAGGGTCTTGCTCTGTCGCCCAGGCTAGAGTGGAGTGGCAGAATTATATAGCTCAACTGTAACCTCAAACTCCTGGCTCAAGTTATCCTCCCATGTCAATCTCCCAAGGATCTAGGGCTACAGGTATGCCACTGTGCATGGCTAAGTTTTTAAAATTTTTTTGTAGGGATGAGACCTTAGGGTCTCGCTATGTTGCCTATACTGGTCTTGAAACACTGGCCTCAAGCAATCCTGCCAACTAAGCCTCCCAAAGCACTGGGATTACAGGTGTGAGTCACTGCGCAGCACAGCCTTAATTATCATTTTTCTTTTTTTTTTCTTTTCTTTTTTTTTGAGACATAGTCTCACTCTGTTGCCCAGACTGGAGTGCAATGGCGCGGTCACTGTAACTTCCGCCTCCCGCGTTCAAGCGATTCTCTTGTCTCAGCCTCCTGAATAGCTGGGACTACAGGCATGTGCCACCACACCCGGCTAATTTTGTATTTTTAGTAGAGATGGGGTTTCACCATGTTGGCCAGGCTGGTCTCGAACTACAGACCTCAGGTGATACATCCAAAGTGCTGGGATTACGGGCATGAGCCACCTTGCCCGGCCAATTATCATTTTTAAAAGTATGTACCTCTCTTCTCTGGGAGATATTCTTGACCAATAAAATGGCAAAAATGCATGTGGCCAGAGGGGGAAGAATCGAATCTGATGGATGATCAAATTAAGTAATTAAGCAATGGACAATGAAGGTTTGGTTATACTTATGCTATGAAGTGAAAATGTTATTTTACTCTTTATTTTTAAAATTAAAGATAACAAATCTGCCTCAGAGGGCTGTTTCTAATATCCAATAAGTTAAGCAGTGTTAAGAACTTAAAACACTGAAGTGTTCAATAAATGTAAGCAGTGATGGTGTCAGTTAACAGTCATCCTCATACTTTTCATAGTAATATACAATTATTAATTGCCAGAATATTTCATTTACTCCATTAATGCATGCATTTAAATTTATCCAGTGGTATACATCTTTAATAAAGTTTAAAATCTTCAGCTTATGAGTTTTTAAAGATAAAACATAAAATGCCATTTTTATGATTTTATTGTCTAGTTTGATTGTTGAAGAATATAACCGCATTCCAAATGTTTCTCTATGAGGCATCTATTCATCTACTGACTGACATATTTAATGTTTAAGTTCCTTTTATTTAAGTTCTTATTGCTTTCTTTATGTGGTTTGGATTGATAATTTAATATTGACATTTGCAATGCATCCAAAGAACTTTCTATATGACAATTGCAGTGTTATAGTCAAAAAGTCTTTGCATTAAATGTTTGTTATTTCATTTTCCAAACTCTGGAAGTATTTTATTTTATTTAAAATATTTTCAGCATCTTTGTAAATTAAGTGTTAATCACCATGGAAAATGCCAGCATAGTTAAGTGTTTGGTTGCAGATAAAATCATATTAATTCTTCAAAATTATAGCTACTTATCTTTTATTTAATAGCTAAGAAAATAAGAATGCCAAAATACAGTCAGAAAATAGAGAAATCTCTAGTATACCATCCACTCTCCATTAGCCTAAAGTAAAATAAAATAATAATAATGTTGCTATGAAACAATGGATTTAAATTCTCAGGAAGAGTATAAAATGAATTACTATATTAGTAGTGCACCATGTGCATTGCAAACGTCTCGCTGAAGTTAATTTTCATTAAAAGCACCCTTTGGCCACACAGAGAGCTTTAAAATATATGACTTTCTCTGTCACTCTAATAATTAGGCCTACTTCACTATGGGAAAATAACATGTGATAATAACTTTATATGTCAAGGTTGTAAATCAAATTAAAAAAAATCCACAGACTCAGCTCTGGGAGATTTTCCAAAATACGTAAATTTCAGAATTGAAGTCCAACAGTTGAGATCCTCTCACAGAAATTATCTGTCTCTGAAATAAACAGTATCTAACTGGTACACTTATTGTATCACTATAGTCCAGGGTTCCATGAATATCCTCATTGGAAAGATCTGAGAAAGTTGTATGCTAGTAATGATTAATGTCTGGGCTGTAGAAGACTTGTAGAGCTTTTAACAGTTGTTTATAGGAAGTGAGGGAGGGAAGAAAGGATAGTAGAAAGAGAGAGACAGATACATAGTAGAAAGAAGATAGATTTTAGAGTGAAAAAACAAGGGCAAAGGTATTAGGAAGTGAAAGGGCATCTTGATGGCATCATCAAGACATAGTGACTAAGCCAAAAAGATGGTCACATACCATATGACATTATAAAAGAATTCTGAACTGACAAGACATTCTGAGTCTGCCTCAGGCGAGTAGTTGTGATCAATATACATTATCTCCTTGAGTTTCTAGTACTTATAATGATGTCCATATGTTTGCCAAACAACTCAGTGCCACAGTGACCCAGATGGACACAGAAAATAAAATTATACCTTCCACCATTAGCTTTCTTTATGTATAGATAAATATTGAGAGGTTTGCAGGAAAAAGAAGAGGGAGGGTAGGAGTAGAGAGGAAAAAAAGAGATCAATCCCTTAACTATAAGTAACATAACAGCTGTCACTTCCATAGTATCTGCCTCTAAACAGAACTAATTTCCTTTAATTTTCTACTGTCTGCTTAGGGTATGTTACAGACAGTCTCTTAAGGTAGTCTCCATGATCTTTACCTCTTGGTGTTTACACCTTTATGTGATTTCCTTCCCTTGAGTGCAGGTAGGGGCTGTGACTTGTTTCCAACCAAAAGAATATAGCAAAAGTGGTAATATGTATGTGATTACAAGTACATGATTTCATGATTATGTTACAAATCTCACTTTTTGTCCCTTGCTGCTTTGAGAAAGCAATCAGCCATGTTGGGGAACTCCATTTATTTTTTTTATTTATTATTTTTTTTCTCATTTTCTTTTTTTTTATTATACTTTAAGTTTTAGGGTACATGTGCACATTGTGCAGGTTAGTTACATATGTATACATGTGCCATGCTGGTGCGCTGCACCCACTAACTCGTCATCTAGCATTAGGTATATCTCCCAATGCTATCCCTCCCCCCTCCCCCCACCCCACAACAGTCCCCAGAGTGTGATATTCCCCTTCCTGTGTCCATGTGATCTCATTGTTCAATTCCCACCTATGAGTGAGAATATGCGGTGTTTGGTTTTTTGTTCTTGCGATAGTTTACTGAGAATGATGATTTCCAATTTCATCCATGTCCCTATAAAGGACATGAACTCATCATTTTTTATGGCTGCATAGTATTCCATGGTGTATATGTGCCACATTTTCTTAATCCAGTCTATCATTGTTGGACATTTGGGTTGGTTCCAAGTCTTTGCTATTGTGAATAATGCTGCAATAAACATACGTGTGCATGTGTCTTTATAGCAGCATGATTTATAGTCCTTTGGGTATATACCCAGTAATGGGATGGCTGGGTCAAATGGTATTTCCAGTTCTAGAACCCTGAGGAATCGCCACACTGACTTCCACAATGGTTGAACTAGTTTACAGTCCCACCAACAGTGTAAAAGTGTTCCTATTTCTCCACATCCTCTCCAGCACCTGTTGTTTCCTGACTTTTTAATGATTGCCATTCTAACTGGTGTGACATTTATGCAGCCAAAAAACACATGAAAAAAATGCTCATCATCACTGGCCATCAGAGAAATGCAAATCAAAACCACAATGAGATACCATCTCACACCAGTTAGAATGGGGAACTCCATTTAACAAAAAACTTTGGATGGTCTCTAAGAGCTGAGGGCAGATTCCAGTCAACTGCTATAAACTGAAACTCTCAGTCCTACAGCCACATGAGACTGAATTCTGCCAACAATCTGAGTAAGTTAGGAAGTTGATCCTTCCCTGACTCAACCCTCAGATGAGATTACAGCCCTAGCCAACACCTCAATTGCAACTTGACAACGCTTTAAACAGAGGACTTGCTAAGCCATGCCCAGACTCCTGGTCCACAGAAACTGTGATAAAAAAGTGTTGTTTCAAGCCACTATGTTTGTGATTATATTGTTACACAGCAATAGATAACTAACACAGGGAGAAACAAGACAAATAGATTTGTAAAACCTTTGTCTAAAGTAAGTCAATAACCATTGAATACATCCCTGAGGATCTCAAATATAAAAAAAAAGTGCATAGGCTTTACATGACATTATTCTATACCTACAGGTTCTTCACTGTTTGCTTTTCTGCTCTCACTTGTGTTCCTAATGAATGCTCAAAGAAGTAACCCAGTTGAGATATTACAATATACATTACCATACTAAGCAAAGCCAGACATATAATTGTATAAAACAGGCAATTTCTTAAAAAGCATCATTTGAAAGTCATCCCAGAGTAATCCTTATTCAAAAAATGTCTCTTCAAGTGGCCTGCACAGTGTTTGAAATACGTCTGTTATGGTGTCATCCTTCTGGAGATAAAGCTATGTGTTTTTAGAAGTGTCCTGTAAGAAAGAAAATATCTCAGTGAAGAATAACATATCAGAGCATTATCTTCTGTAGGGAGACCCCCTGAAACTATTGCTATGGAATAAAAGATAAAATGCTCCTGATTATTGTACATACAAAGTTGCCTGCAGGATTGTGTAAAGACAATGCCAGGTTGGACTGCCAGAACGAGCCAACAGTGCATGATGTGCTTCCCCCTGCAGAGAGCCTATGAATGGACGTGCAGTCAGGGAGTTTTCACATCACCAAGATTCCTATCCCAGAAAAGCAGATGTTCATAGCTCTGGGAATGGAATGTGACCCATGTGGAGAGCCTATAAACAGACACATCGGGGGGGGTCGCCTGTCTATATGGATAAGATAGGGCTACAAACGCCCTCATCTTGCCACAGCTCTTCTAGGCCTCTTTAGGGTTAAGGCATACTCCCTTCTGAGAATTTCTGGTCTAACCGGTTGTCTAGCTTCATGTCCTGTTTCTATGGATTGTTTGTAACCAGCTTTTGCTGCAACTGTTACTGCTGATTAATATCTTGCTAATCATAGGTTATGGAAAAACTGTGTTTCTGTTTTTAGTCTCTGTTAGAAATTACTGATGCACACACTGTATTATAAATTCTTATCTCTGTATACTGTACTTCTGCATACAAATGTTATGTTAAAGAATTACTTCATCCCCATGTGACCATCTCACCTCATAATCAAATGACCCTAAATCCCTCACTAACCTACCCCCGCCCTCACTAAACTTAATAATAAATGCTGGTATATCCAGTGCATTGTTGGCACCACGGGACCAGAAGGCGGTGACCCCCCTGGACCCAGCTTTCACTATCTTGTGTGTGTCTATTATTTCTCAACCTGCCTATCCATCCGCCTGGGAACAAAGAGAGAGCCCCATTGCATTGTGGGCTGCTGGCCAGATCCCACAATAATCTTCTACCAATATGTCTGCTGATTTAATTTATCCAATAGTCATTGCCCTAGCAAAGCACATAAAAATAAACTTTTCATTTGTAACTGAATAGATACATAGCATTTTTATAGTATCTGCTTTACAATTTCAAAAGAACCTTCATAAGTTAAATTTCATTATATTTAATGTATGAAGTTAAATATATGATATATAAGTTATATATGTATTATATATAGCTTATGAAGTTATATCTAAATTTTATATATTCATAATTTATTTAATTAAATAAATCTTATTTAATAAAACTTTATATGTAAAGCTCCTAGGAGAGTGCCTGCCTATGATTTTTACTCAACAATGTTCATTCATTCTCTTCCTTTTAATCCTAACAAGATTTGATCCCCACTCCTTTAAATGAGGAGACCAAGTAGCAGCAAATAAATAACTTGCTCAAGATCATTAGCCTAGTCATATAACAGAGTTGAGACTTTAACCCAAATCCTCAGACTATGAATTTTGCTCTCTCTACTTTTGTCTCTACTGCTTCAGAAAGCACCACATATCCATCACTTAGAATATGAAAATCCCATAGACAAAATCTAAATGACACTCTCTATTCTGCTTTAAAGATATTTAACTTTAATTTCTGTGACATTTAATGAATGCATTGTTTATTGAAATTAAATAGAATTTTATAAAGATTTGGAATCCTAGTCCCAATTCTGCCACTAGCCAGCTCTGTGATCTTGAAAAAGTCACTCTACTTCTCTGAACTGCAGTTTTCTCATATCCAAACTGGAGGTAATACTAATGATGATTCTGATAACCTGATATTTGCCTCAACGTGTCGCTGACATAATGAGATAATGAATCTGATCAACCTTTGAAAGTGGTACTATAGTATTTAGCAAATATGTCATTGCCATCAGTATCATAATTATTATTGACCAAAATTCTATAATTGTACTATCTTAATAAACCCAGTTTTTCTAATCTGATGTCAATGAAAATATTTGGTTATTAACACTTCTGATTTTTTTGTTTGATGTTTCTTTGAAATACAAAAGATACTACTATTAGAAAGAAGTTAAAACAAAGTAACCTATCCTAAGATGTGTGGTTTAAATTCATGCTAGAAAATTGTACATTTGGACTGTTCTTTAAGTGTGCTGCTAATTGCTAAAAATACAGTGTTGATGAACCTTACCTGGTTGGAATTTTTTTAAATTAGTAGTTAAAATGTGGCTGTTACAGCTTCTCACAACAGACTCCTTAAAATCTTAAACCATAATTCTTTTATATTAAAGTATAACTTTAAAAGCACTCTTCTCTCACAAAAAAACTATCAATGTGTTAGTGTAAGCCAGCCGTGTCCAACCCTTTGAATGCGAGGAATGTTTTGCTTACCTGTGATGGCAGATATTACAAAACTTATGCACGGACCTTTTTTTAGCTCATTAGCTATCATTAGTCTTAGTGTATTTTGTGTGTGGCCCAAGATAATTCTTTCAATGTGTCCCAGGGAAGCCAAAAGGTTGGACATCTCCAGTGTAAGCCATTCTCTAAGTACAGTATACAATGGATGAGGTCAAAAGGAAGGGCAATGAGTACATTAAAATTATTTACTTAAGAGTATTCAACATTTATTATGGAGTATAATTTCACCTATATGCAAGTAATTCACACTATACTGGCTCAGGCTTAGGAAAAATCATGTATTGAATTCATTACATTTATTACTTTTGAAAACACTGATAGTTTTGTTATATTACTGAAGGCTGAATTTATTAAGTGATTCATAAAACTGGGCTCCACTTTGTTCATTAATTGTAGGACTAACTAGTGTAACTCTTTATAAATAATTTGCATTTTCATCAATTAACAAACATTTATATTTGCTGGTGAGATAGAAACCTATTAATACATTCTGAAAATAAACAATTTGAGAATCAGGCTTTTCACACATTTAAATTTGCTTTCCTGGTGACGAAGTCAATCTTTACATTAGAGTATCCCTAGATGCATAACAAACCACAAAAAAACTTTGAGGTTTATAGCAACATTTTCATTATTTCTTCCTGTTTCTTGGGTTGAATGGTGGCTTATCTGGGCTCACCCCTGACATATGACTCTAAAGCACATCACGGTGTAGACTATATTTAAAGTCAAGTAATTAGATGAGATAACCAAAGGGAATAATTGTAGATAGTGAAAATGTACAAGAACTGAGCCCTGAAACATTTCAGTTTATAGAAGATAAAGAAATGAGGCAGAATCAGCAAACATAAAGAAGTGGCCAATGATGGAGAAGGAAAACAAGGGAGTTTCGTATGTATTTCTAAAGCCAAGTAAAGAAGTATATCAAAGAAGAGGGAACGAGAATAGTTAACTGGGTCAAATCCTGTTGACAGAACTATAAGAACAGAAGATAAGAATTCAGATTTAGCAAACTGGAGGTTATTAATGAACTTGAGAAGAGCAGTTTTGGAGAAAGGGTATGGCTCATGAAAAGCCTGATTGAATGGGTTTCAGGGAAAAAGAAATTACAGCCAGACAACTCTATAAATATTTTTCTTCTGTAAAGGGGAGCAGAGAAAGGAAGTAGTAACTTATGAGGTTGTGGGGCAAAGAGAAAGATTTTTAAAGATAGAAGAAATAACAGCATATTTGTATGCCAATGGAAATAACATAGAGATAAAAAATAGCAATAAACAAGATACAGAGAAGAACTGCTGAGGTGATGTCCTTGAGTAGCTGAAATTAAATGGTGTTTGAGATTGTCTGAATGCTTGTTTCTCCCAAAAATTCATACATTAAAACCTAATCAGCAATGTGATGCTATTTGTAGACTGAGTCTTTGGCAACTGATAAGGTTATAAGGGTGGATCCTTCATAGATAAGATAAGTACCCTTATAAAAGTGGCCTCAGAGAGCTGCCTTACTCCTTTCGCTAAGTGAGGACACAGCGAGAAGGCACATCTATGAAACAGAAACTGGGCCTTTACCAGACACCAAATTTGCCAAATCCTTGATCTGGGTCTCCCCAGCCTCTGGAACTGTGAGAAATAAATTTTCATTGTTTAAAAGCTTCCCAGCTTATGGCATTTTTTAAATAGCAGCCCAAACAGACTAATGCAAATGTTTGTACTGATAATCAGGTACTGCTATAACAAATACCTAAAATGTAGGAGTGGCTTTAAAACTGTAATGGGTAAAGGATGGAAGTGCTTGGAGGTGTGTGCTAGAAAAAGCCTACATTCCTATAAACAGACTGTTAAGGGTGGCTCTGATGAAGGCTTAGAAGGACAGCAGGGGAGTTATAGAGAAAGCCTCAATCTTCTCAGAGAATATGTAAGTGGTCATGATCAGAATATTGGTAGAAATATGGATGGCAAAGGTCATTCTGATGAGTTCTTAGAAAGAAATAAAGAACATATTAATGCAAAATGGAGAAAGGCAATCTTAGTTATAAAATGGCAAAGAACTTGGCTTAATTGTGTCTGTGTCCTAGTATTTTGTTGAAGTATTTCTGTGTCCTAGTATTTTGTTGAAGGTAGAACTTGTGAATACTGAAATACAACATTTGGCTAAAGAAAGTTTTAAGCAAAGTGTTGAAGGTGCAACTTGGCTTCTAATGTAAAAAATAGAAAAATAATTTAAAGATGGAATTTTAAATAAAAAAATGAAGCAGAACTTAAAGATCTGAAAAACTCTCAGCCTCTCCAAATTGTAACAAATGAGAAAGCATGTTTGGGAGAGAATACTAATGGTGTAACCAAGTGAACATTTGATAAGATTAATATGAATCAGCCAAGTTCTATTCATCAAAACTATGGAAGAATGATCCCAAAGGCATTTTGGAGATTACCAGGGATACCCCTCTTATTACAGGCCCAGAGTGCCAGGACCTGGGGGACAGAATAATTTCAAAAAGGGGCCATAGGTGCCCACAGGACCCACATACTCGCTGGCCAGTACCACCCCAAAGCTCTGTTCCCAGCATTCTGGTGCAGCAGTCTTTGACCACCCCAGGTTCAGCTCCAGTGGGCCCAGGTGTGGTACAGGCAGTAGTTGCCACCCCTCTAGAGGACACAGACAGTAAACCTTGCCAATATCTGTGTGGTGCCACCTCTGCCAGTTCTCAGACTACACAAGCTGTGGAAATGTGGCTACCTCCATCTAGATTTTGGAGGATGGAGCCTCCCAGAGTTCTAGGCATGCAATCCAGGCAGAGTGCTGGGTTGAGCTGGCTGAGAGTGGGGCAATTGCAGAGAGTCTCCACTAGGTCAATGTCTAGGCTGTACCTAGTGGGGTACAGCCACCCCCACGATCCCAGACCAGTAGAGCCACTGGCATGTGAATCCAGCCTAGGAAAGCAACAGACAGGTGACTCCAACCCTTGAAAGCTGCAAAGCGATTAGGGCAGGGTTACCCAGAGCTTTGGGGACTCAATCCCTGCCAAGTAAAGCTGCAGAAATAGGATCTCTCCCCTGGAAGGTCTGGAGGGCAGAGCCTCAAGTCAAATAAGATGATTCTATATCCTTAAGGTTTTAGACTTGCAATCTGCTGCCCCTTTCTCCTTTCCTATTTCTCCCTTTTAGAATGAGAGTATCTATCCTATGACTGTCTCACCACTGTAATGTGAAAGCACATAACATGTGTGATTTCATAGGTACATAGCTAGAGAGTAATTTGCCTTAGAATGAATCATACCTTGAGTCTCATCCATATCTAATTGAGATGATAGATGAGACTCTGGACTTTTGACTTTTGAGTTGATGCTGGAAATAGTAAACACTTTTGGGGTTACTGGGATGGAATGAATGCATTCTGCTTCTGAAAAAGACAAGTTTTAGTGGGCCAGCAGCACAATTCTATGATCTAAATATATGTGTTCCTCCAAGATTCAAATGTTGAGACCTAATCACTAATTTGATGCTGTTC
Organism: Homo sapiens; assembly: GCF_000001405.40. Taxonomy (NCBI): domain Eukaryota; kingdom Metazoa; phylum Chordata; class Mammalia; order Primates; family Hominidae; genus Homo; species Homo sapiens. The sequence goes on from NC_000001.11 coordinate 49,807,787, forward strand.
AGAGGTGAGGAATTTTGGGAGATAATTATGTCATGAGGGCAGAGCCCCAATGAATAGGATAAGTGACCTTACAAAAGAAGCCCCAGAGAGCTGCCTTGCCCCTTCCACCCATGTGAGGGCACAGTGAGAGGGCATCATCTATTAACCAAAAAGTGGGGCTTCACCAGATGTCAAATCTGCCAATGCCTTGACCTAGGACTTTCCAACCTCCAGAACTGTGAGAAATAAAGTACAGTTGTTTAAAAGGAACCCAGTTTACGGTACTTTGTTATAGCAACCTAAACAGACTACAGCAACATGTAATGTGCAAATGGAGAGATTACCCTCAGATAAGAACAGAAACAGTTCCTCCAGTAAAAGATGGAAAGAAACAGTAAAGGGCACAGATGCAAGGAAGCTGGTGAATATGGTGACAGAAATTTTTGGAAACTCTCTTCCAATTGCTTCTATTTTCTCTATTTATTGATTGTATATTACTCATCAGCCACAGAGCCTTGAAGAGATTTTAATTTGGATTTCTTGTTTGAGTGACGGGGTGGATGAGGATGTCTATAGATTCACAAAGGGAAGACAGGAGGAGGCTCAATGTTGAAAAGACTACAAACTTTGATGCACACTGACTTTGGGGTGCCTCTCAGACAACTTACTTCATAAATGCACAGAGCTGAATTTAGTTACAATTACATGAAGTCAGTTAATAAATATAATAAGATTATATCCCCTCAAGTTTTTCTCAATTACTATTAAAATTATAAAAATTAGTATATACATATACGTGTGACATTCTTTTTATATTTCTGTTCTGAACATGAGGACTTATAATTTAACGAATGAATTATCCGTTTAAGAATATCACTTGTCTAGCATAAGACAACTTACTATTCCTAAATACTTATAAATATTAGGAGAAAAAGCACGTTGAATATATCAGAAAAATGCCCTGTTCCTAACATAGTAGAAACTAATTTATGTTTCTGACATCGTAGTATATAGATAATTTGCACATGGGTATGATTCAAGTTAGCAGTCTATAGAAGATTGCTAGGATATGAAATCCCCTTGTATATTATGGTAATTTACCTTCACATTATTTCATTGTTATAGATTCCGAGGTTCTCACTAGCTTCTGAAAAAAACATGCAGCGATAATATATGGTTTGCTCCCTATTTGCTTTCAGAAATAAAAATACTAAATCAAAATTAACATGGAAAAATCTGAACCTAGTAGGCGGTTAGGCAATTGAAGAAAATCAATCAGTGTAAATATGGAGTTATGTGCTACCAATTGAATAATACTATTAAATATTACATTTTATTGCAATCGGTTTTCAACTACACAGGAAAATTCTTCCCTTGTAGCATCCAATTACATTTTTTTTTATTATTTTACTTTAAGTTCTAGGGTACATGTGCACAACATGCAGGTTTGTTACATATGTATACATGTGCCATGTTGGTGTGCTGCACCCATTAACTCGTCATTTACATTAGGTATTTCTCTTAATGCTATCCCTCCCCCCTCCCCCCACGACAGGCCCTGGTGTGTAATGATCCCCACCCTGTGTCCAAGTGTTCTCATTGTTCAATTCCCACTATTCTTAAGAACCAAAAATGGTGTTCTGGACAACACCAGTGCTATTGGAATGCAGTCTCTAATAAAGAGTTGGTGGAACTATTATAGCAGAACTATGAACTTACAGGTCTATAAACCAAAGTATAAAAGGAGCATTGCAACATATTTTCTAACACCTAACTGCTGTAACCAAATAGTTTATTGTCAAAACCAAATGATATCCTGCTGTACAACATTATATCTATAGCTAATAATACCGTATTGCACATTTAAAAATGTGTTACAAGGGTAAGTCTCATGTTAATTGTTCTTACCACAATAAAAAATAACTTCATATAAATAATGCAAAATTAATACCAGCTTCAAACTCCCCATGTGTGATACAGAGAAATTTATATAAAGAAAGGATAACAACCAGACAAAATGCTGTAAACAATCAAGGCTTCAACCTTATCTATCTCAAGTACTGCTGCTGGGAAGTTATAATGAAATCTCCGCCTAAATTTAAAAATACTAGAAAACTTGCTATATAAATCCTGTAATTTTTCAAACACCTGTCTATTTAGTGGATTAGCTATCTCCAATAATACCTTCCCACCCCATATTAATTATTTAGTTTCACAGTGGCTACTTTCAGTTCCATTAAAAAATATCTGCTTCTAAAACAATCATAATTATCATTCAATATAAACCTATTTTGTTCCAGATGCTTTACATATCATACAAAATTGATCTTTACCACTTTCCTCCCTATAAGGTAGGTGAAGGTTTTCCTTCCAGTTGAGGAAAATGAGGCTCAGCTAAGTACCAGACACAAAGTCACACAACCAGTAAGTAGCAGAGACAGAATTTGAACTGAAGTCTGTGGGACTCCAGAGTGCCCTTATATCTATAACTTACTACTAGATACAAGAATCTATTCCAAATCCATCAGGGAAGTAAAAAGAGGAGTAAGAAATAATGTATGTCATTAAAGGGCCTATTACATTCTAGGAAAAAGTAACTATACTAGAAAGTAGAATATTATATTCTAAAAGAACAGTTTAAACAATTGTTTTAGTACAGGGAGATACCACACATCTAATTATAAATTTCAGGAAAGTTTTTATGGATAAAATGGCATTTGAAATAGATCTTAAATAATTAATTATTTTATCATAAGGTGAAGACTTGATGTTAATAGGGGGTACTGGAGAAGGCTATATAAAGAAGGCATTTCTAAAACAAAAGAATAATGAAGAAAAAACAGCAAAAAACATGTTTCATGTATAGTGAATACTTCTGATTGACTGGAATACTGGGTAAATATAGCAGACTGAAACAAAGGAAGAATAGAAAGATAGGTTAAGTTCAACCTAAAGGCTCTTAAGTGACATGTTGAGGAAGTTTCAATTCATTTAAAAGGCATTGGGAAGTTACTGGAAGTTTTTTAGTAGAAAGTGATATGATTAAATCTATGCTTCAGGAAAATGACTTGAGCAAAAACATATACAACATATTGAAAAGGTAGACACCTGAGGTAGCAAGCTAAATTAGGAAATTACTGCAATAGTCATGGCAGCCTGAACTAAGACAATCACAGTAGTCACAGAAAGGGTGGCACAGTATCAAATATATAGGCAATTAAACCAGCAGGACTTAGTTACTTTTCTACTTAAGGTAGTGAAAATAAGAGTAAAGAGTTAAGTGGGAGAAGAGCTTCAAGGTCTGGGACCTAGATATCTATCCGAAACACTGACTTTCACAAAATTCAAACTTTCATCAGGTAAAAGAGAGGTAAATAATCATGAGGTAAAATGATGTGTTTTATCACCACTTTTATCTAAGAACTTCTATGTTGGAATGGATCCTGTGGAAAATGGTGTTCCAATGTGTGCTCTGCAGACTTCCTGAATCAGAATCATCTGGGGTTGCAGGTCATGAGGATTCCAGTCTGCATTTCATCCATTTCTGCATATCTACAACACTTGTTATTTATAGCGCTTAATTGAGAATTTATACAGCTTTATTTAAAGCTGTATAGTAAATACATAGTAAAATTTCTATGAAAGAGAATGGCTTTCTTGGGTACTTACAAAGTTCATTCTTAATTTTTGTTACTTAGACTTTATAAGTATCTTAGCTACCCAACTATTAATAGAAGACAAATTCCCTAAGGATAAAGACTAATAATAATAATGTCTCTAGGTACTTTTACACTAATCGAAGCACTTTACAGTTTACCTGTTTGGTACTCAATTATTATAATGATATTCACCATATTATTAAAAATTTTTTTAGAGATGGGGTGTCGCTATGTTGCCCAGATTGATCTCGAACTCCTGGGCTCAAGCAATCCTCCTGCATCAGCCTCCCAAAGTGCTGGGATTACAGGCATGAGCCACCATGTCCAGCCAATAGTCACCATATATTACTAGACAAATTATATAGCACTTTATCTCATCCTCAATTTTGTCAGTTTTACAAATTAGAGAACCAAGGTCCACAAAACGTAAATACTTCATCAAAAAACAGAGTTAGCGAAAGACAAAGGTAAATCAGAATCCAGAGCCATCTAATTCCAAAGTATATTTTCTTCTCCCTACGTCATGTTGCCTCCACAGTGTTACATGCCACAGTGCTAGTTACAAAAGTACTCATTCAAACAAATTTTTGTTTGTTTTCTGTTGTGGTTGTTATTAAGTATTTAAGCCTTGTACATAAGCAATCATTGCACATAATGAATGATCAATGAGTATCTGTCAAGTGAATTAATGTAGCCTCAATGAGAAAACTAAAATTCTTAAGAAAAAATAGAAAATTATAGACACAGACAAAGCACGAATACATTCACTGTGCTGCTTACAAATATAATCATTCCCCCTCTGGCTTAGTGCTAAAATTAAAACAGTCATAGCATTTGTTAAACTCCAATTGTTTGGGTAAAGCAATGCTTCCAAGGTGGAACGAAAGGGAGAAATATCCATAGGGATCCCTCTGAGCATGATTTCCTCCAACACCTACATTCTAGGGCTGTTAAGAATGGGAGACACAAGGCTGTATACATGGACTTGTAGATTTGGAGACAGATAGATGTTATACTTTGATGACATACTCACATTTACCTATATACATCAAAAAAGAGCCAGTTCCATTTATCTACATTCTTCCAACCTAACAAACACTGACATAAAGGTGCTTGGCTAGGAGAAAGGGATGTAAGTTCATTCATGGGTTTCTCCACATAATCTATGAATACTGATGTTAGAGGAAGGAACACTGGACTAGCTGGTCATTCTAGAAATGTAGACCACTAATGCCCACAGTGCTGTGCAAAACCCTGTCACAAGTCACCCTTTCTCCTTCTCCTGGGTTTCCTTGATAAATGTTAATTTTCTAACTTTGGTCTCATCAATTTTCTAGTCATTTATTCTGCAAACATTTACTGCAGAACTACTATGTGCCAGGTACTGTACTAAGTCACACCATGGGAAAGAGAATCTAAGAGAAGTCCTTGTCCCAACAGTTCAAAGTCTCACTGAAGAGACCTACATGTAACTAAATCACTGCAGTGCAATGATTGAAGAAGACATATAAATATCCCAGATGAAAGATATGGGAAAGAAGCCAGAGCTATAAGATTTAATGAACTAAAAAGCGCATCACCTGCAAGAAACTTAAACAATACCTGTAGAAGTGCCAGGCTAAGGGAGAATCACAGAATCCTAGAATGTTCCGGGTTGAAGGAAAGCCCAATTAATTGCTACTAAAAAAGAATATCTTACTGACAAAGCAGCCCATAACCACTGTGCCAGGTTCTGATAATACACAAATAAACTCTGAGCCCAGCCCACCTCAAGAAACCCACAACTCAGTGAAAGACTCCTCACTATACCACTAGTAGGCAGAGGCATTAAAAACAATATGATGATATTAAGAAAAACATTAAAAATTGTATTAATATAGAATGCCACATCACTAAGATGGAATTTAAAAGTAGCCCTTGCTTAAGACACTCTCCTGCTATAAACTCTGAAATATTGTCATCAACCTATGCCTCTGCAAAGACGTATTAATTGCATGTGACAAAACAGTCTCTACTCCAATACCCTCTATTCTCAGCCCTCGTCTCCTGACACCACTCTTTATCCCTAGGTAAACATGGCCACTCCCTCCTTGGTGACTCTATAATACCCTATACAGACTCTGCTCATTCATTCTTCATGCATTCATTTACTCACTTATGTAATCAGTAAGTATTTTTTAGCACCCATTATGTACAAAACACTGTACTAGGTGCTGGGGACATAAAGTACTCAATAAAACAAACACAATCCTATTCTCAGGGAGGTTACATTCCAGAGGGTGTAGATTTATAATACGAAAATAAATATATAACAGGTCTGGTGATGGTAAGTGCTAAGAACAAAAACAAAGTTGGATAACAGAGATACGGAATATGGAAAGAGAGTACTTGATATGGTTTGGCTGTGTCCCCACCCAAATCTCATCTTGAATTGTAGCTCCCATAATCCTTACATGTTATGGGAGGCACCCAGTGGGAGGTAACTGAATCATGCGGGCAGGTCTTTCCCATGCTATTCTCATGATAGTGAATATGTCTCATGAGATCTGATGGTTTTATAAAGGGCAGTTCCCCTGCACATGCTTTCTTGCCTGCTGCCATGTAAGAAATGCCTTTGCTCCTTTTTCGCCTTCTGCCATGACTGTGAGGCCTCCCCAGCCATGTGGAACCATGAGTCCATTATAAATTACCCAGTTTTGGGTATGTCCTTATTAGCAGCATGAGAGCTGACTAATACAGTACTGTATTAATTGTGTAGCCAGCAAAGACCTCCCTGATAAGATGACATTTCAGCAGAGATGTGAATGACATGAGAAATGTACCATATAAGTATCTATGTATCATGTAGGAGTATTCCAGGCAGAAGAAGTTCAAACACTCTGAAGTGAGAACATGAGTAGCGTATTTAAGGAACAGGCAGTGGACAGATGACAGTGTCTTGAACGCTATCAGCCCCTACAGCCTTATAGTGTACTTACTTGTATCCACTATCACACTATGAGCTCCCTGAGAGAAAGGATCCTGTCTTAGTTACCTCTGAGTTGCCATTGCCTAGGACAGAATCTGACCCAGGAGACACTATATAAATATTTGAGTAATAAATTAATGAGTGAGGATTCAACCTTTCTTCTCTCCCTTGCTTGATTCACTCCCAGGTATTATTGATGAATATGTGCTGCATCTTCAACTAGGTTTCCAGCTTTTCTGAAGGCAAACACTATGTCAAGTATATCTTTTCCTGTTCCTCCCATCTCACATGTACCCCTAGGGTTCAATGCAGTGTTGTACAAATATTATATAAGACCAACAGATATAAAATCATTGAAGGAATATCTAGGTCTAGTGCTACCAAGATACCTGGAATAGGAAATAAATGGCAGAAATCACAGATCAAAATTCTGCATAGAAACAAATGGTGTCAAAATATGAAAAGTAGCCATTAATTTTAATTTTTATTTTTTGTGGGAACATAGTAGGTGTATATATTTATGGGGTATATCAGATGTTTTGATAGAGACGTGCAATGCAATGTGTAAAAATCACATCACAGAAAATGGGGTATTCATCCCCTCAAGCGTTTATCCCTTGTTACAAACAATCCAATTATACTCTTTTAGTTATTTTAAAATGTACAACAAAGTTATTATTGACTATACTCACCCTGTTGCGCTATCAAGTACTAGGTCTTACTCATTCTTTTTAACTATTTTTCATACCCTTAACCAGCCTCACTGACCCTAACCCTCCACTACCCTTCCCTGCCTCAGCTAAACATTCTTCTACTCTCTAACTTCATGACTTCAATTACTTTGATTTTTAGATCCCACAAATAACCGAGTACATGAGACGTTTGTCTTTCTGTGTCTGGTTTATTTCACTTAACACATTGACCTTTAGTTCCATGTTGTTGCAAATGACAGGATCTCATTCTTTTTATGGGTGAATAGTACTCCATCATGTATACATGTCACATTTTCTTTATCCATTCATCTGTTGCTGGACACTTACATTGCTTCAAAATCTTGGCTATTATGAACAGTGCTACAACAAATATGGGAGTGCAGATATATTTTTGATATACTGATTTCCTCTCTTTGGGGTATATACCTAGCAGTGGGATTGCTGGATCATATGGTAGCTCTATTTTCATTAACTTGGGAACCTCCAAAGTGTTCTCCATAGTTGTACTAACTTACATTCTCATCAACAGTATATGAGGGGGTCCCTTTTTTCCACATTCTCACCAGCATTTTTTATTGCTTGTCTTTTGGTTATGAGCCATTTTAACTAGCGTGAGATGCTATTTCATTATAGTTTTGCTTTGCATTTCTCTGATGATCAATGATATTGAATACCTTTTCATATGCCTGTTTGCCATTTGTATGTCTTCTTTTGAGAAATGTCTATTCAAGTCTTTTGAAAACTAGCTGTTTCTTAGGTAGGGAAACACTCACCTAATTTCAATCATTACCATCTTTTTTTTCAGTGGGAGGTCTTACTCTGTTGCCCAGGATGGATTGCAATGACAGGATCATGACTCACTGCAGCCTCAAGCTCCTAGGCTGAAGCAATCCTCCCCCATCAGCCTCCCCAGTCACTGGGGTTTACAGGCATATGCCACCATGCCTGGCTATGTATTTTTTTAAGAGATGGGGTCTTGCTATGTTGCCCAGGCTGGTCTCAAAGTCCTGGACTCAAGTGGTCCTTCTGCCTCAGGCTCCTGAGTCATTGAGATTACCTGAGGCAGCATGCTCAGCTCTTATCATTACCACCCTTAACTCTCACTAGTACTACTTTACAGATACAACCAGAATAATACCATCATAATTAGAGTATGCTTTCAGGATTCAGAACTGGATCAGAAGAGAGTGGCCCCAGCAAGATAGCCAGAAAGTCTGATGCACAATGTCCAAAAAGCATAGGATGCTCAGACATGATTTAAGCTGGAAAAGGTTCCAAAAGGTCTAGGTAATGGGCATATACAATAATGTAGACCAAGCATATTTGCCACTTAGTGGTCCAAGGAAATATGTCTATTCATATCTAGATTTTATCCAGCGATTGGTAAAAATGAAAAGTAGATATGAGTATAGACATGGTGAAAATTAGGCCTCCCAGCCCAGATTCATATCTAGAGGGCAAGGGTTCAGGCAATAACCTACGCTTGAAGAGATACTAATTCTAATATTCTAAGCTGAGTGATGAGTAAGACTTTGGCACAGAAAAGAAGGTATCAAGAAAGAACTCATTTTTACAGACAATACCAATGAAAATAATGCAGGAAATGTAACAACTTACAGACTAGTGACCAGGGTTTGTCTCTTGTATATTAGATAACAAGACTAATTGGCAGCATCTCTAATACTGCTCATAGACATTATGCTGTGGTCAAGAAATGGCTCAGAGATGAGGCAGACTGGGATAGAAGTCAAAACCCATCAGTAGCAGATTTAACTGCTGGAAGCCAGGATGAGAAAGGTAAAGGTCTAAGGTGAGAGCTGCTCACAAAATCAGATTGGTCAAACTGGAGGAAACTTTGCAAACCTGAAACCCAACTATATTAGAGATGTCCATTACTTCTCCTCCACTCATAGCCTCTTAGAGAATCTCTCCTACCCACATCCCTGAAGAGGCAGCCCTATATACACAATGACCACCTTCTTTGGTTTACAGTTGACCAGACCCAAACTGAGAAAATCATATTTTCCTTCTTATAATTAGGAATTGAAATACAAGACTGAGTTTGTTAGAGTATGTTGAATAGGCCAGTCAACCCTATGGCAGGCAAGTGAACACTCAGCAAGCTTGAAACAGAAACTAAAAACCTTAAAAAGAAAGTTGGCCTGAAGGGCAGGGAATGGAATATAAAGTATTTAGGAACAAGGAGATTCTAGATCATGCAGACCCAGGCATATACATGGAAGAAGAGATTGCCTAATAAGTTTCCAGCTTCCTTTATGCACTATGAGTTAAAAATATTGTCTGTTTATTAATGGTTAAGAATTATGGGATAAAATTTTCCTTGAAAAATAGTCATCTTCTTTAAGATTTTAGGGGTTTTTAATAACACATAATTCTCATTCGCAATACTGTTATTTATAACCCTGTGTTAAATATTCAGACTCAATTATTTATTCTATTCCTAAGTAATATTAAGCTATACTTTAAATATTATCCCATACTTTTGGATACACAAATCTGAGAGAGAAGAAAATATACAAACAAAGAAAAAGTGTATACTCTTCCCATCAGCAATGACAGCCAAATTTTACTTATAAGATTGCTTTCCATATTTTACCCTGTTTAGATATGTAAAAGGCTAACATCTAATCCCATTTGTAATGCTGATCCAGCAAGAAAGAAATTAATTTGGCATTAGAGTAGTAACATCAATTTCCCATGTAACTAAAGTAATGCATTTACTGGAAAGAGATTAATATCAATTCCATAAATCATTCACATGCTTTTTCCGGGTTTGAGACATCCGAGTAATGTCATATATGTGAGCTGATATCACTTTGTGCATGTGCCATTCATTAATCTGTGCCTGGGGTTACAGAGAAGTTGTCAGGAGAAAATATAAAACTTAGAAAAAAATCAATCTTTCTGTTCTTAATTTTTTGTAACTTGTTTTAAGTAAGGTAAGCCAAATGTTGCTAGAAATGCAATGACATTGATCCACACTAGCAGCCAGCATTTTCAGAAAAAAAAAATTAAACATTTGGTCACTTAGCTTCCTGGTGGTAACAACTACTTAATATCCACATAAGACAATGTGTAAATGTCAATGCAAATATTCCATTAAGGAGCCTCAATAAAATGATGACTAAAAGAAGAACTGAGTCTGAGTCTCTCCTTTAAAGAACAGTTCATCTTTGTTGTTGAATTTCATAATCATATGGGTTTTTTTTAGTTTCTTGCTTTCTGTTTGTTTTTGTTTTTTTTGTTTTTTTTTTTTTGAGATGAGGTCTTGCTCTGTCACCCAGGCTGGAGTGCAGTGGCACCATCATGACTCACTGCAGCCTCAAACTTCCAGGCTCAAGAAATCTTCCAACCTCAGCTCCCAAGTAGCTGGAATTATAGGTGCATGCCATGATGCCTTGCAATATTTTTTAAAATTTTTGTAGAGTTGGAGTCTCCCTATGTTTCCCAGGCTGCTCTTGAACTCCTGGGCTCAGGTGATCCTCCTGCCTTGGCATCCCAGAGTGCTGCGATAATCACATTACTCAGGATCCCATAGATAAAAAGAACCAATATGATATGTGTATATGTATATGGTCTGTGTGTGATATACATATAAATCATCCAATCCCCAAAACACAGCACCAATTACCTGCATGATACAGAATGGGAAGAACAAGGCCCAGATGTAAGAGCGTGGAGCTTGTAACACTCCTATTATTTATTATTACTTTTGACAAATTGATAATATTAACCTAAACTTAAATCTTCCATTCCAAGTCATCTGTGGCTAGCAAAACTGCAGGGACAAGGAAATGAGTGACACAGTGGAAAGAGTCCAGGCCTTTGATTTGACTAAAGTCAAATCCCAGCTCTATCATTTACTAACAGTTACTTGTCTTTGAGCTTCTAATATTTCCTCATCTGAAATATTAGAAAAATAGTGCCTATTTCATGGGATTCTTAGGAGAATTAGAGATAAAGTATATAATGTTTCCTGGAATATAATAGATGATCAATACTTCTCTGGCCATATTTATTCTGTTCACTTCCAGGGCACAGGGTAGAATTTCACCTTTTGACCCCCTGAAAATAGACGTGGCCATATGACACATTTTGTCCAATGCGATATAAGTGGAAATTATTTGTGACTTTTCCAAAAAGGTATTTTTATTATAATTTGGCTATCATGACTTAAAACATACTGAGACATTTCTCTCTTGCGATGCATTCACAATATCAGAACTCTTTTTATTTTATAGTATATTAGCAACTTACAGAACAGTTACGCTATCTTCTATTAATTGTGTGAAACAGAAATATTGTCAACTAAGCAGGACAAGGTTCATTATTCCATTTTAGTGATGAGATCACACATTCAGAGAAGTGAGGTGATTTTTCCCAAGACCACATAGATAATAAGTGTCAGGTCTTCTGATTCCTAGATAATACCAATCCGTGTATAAGAAAAAAATAAATGCCACACTAACAATGGACTGTTTTATAAGATAATTTATTGAGATGCTAATCTGTGCTGGTAAATGATATCCCACATTCTATTTTTTCCAACACTGAACATTTATTTCCCTGCCTCCCACCCACACACCATACGCTCTATTCTCTAGGCTCTTTGAGATCTCTTACCTCAAGGGAGGTTTGCGTGGCAATAAAAAAGAAAACATTGCCCCCAACACTTCTTTTCCTGACCTTAGCTAGGATTATGCTAGTAGAAAGAGCAGAGTTCCATTGGAAGCAGAGAAGGGAAGAAAAACGTCCTATACTTTGGGAAAGAGAAGTCAAAGATTCCAGGAATGGTGGGAGGAAGAGGTGCTCCCTGGCAATCCTCAGTAATAAATGGCTTCGCAGGGTACCTACAGAGGAAGAACGCTAGGCACTAGGTCTCTGAAGCTAGGCAAAAGCTCCAATAAAGACCCTCATGTCCTGCTTGTGTGAGACTTCCCACATTCAAGGAGTTGCATGAGCTTGAATTATGAGGGTGTCATGGTACCCAGACATTTAAAAATCAGAATGTTTTATCTCCTAGCGTAAGCATCACATACACCTCTTGGAGTCTTATGTGACTTTTGAGAAAGAAAGCCTCAGTTAAGATGTGAAAATGAATTTCCTCTAATCCCAGTGAGAAGGAAATCCAGAGTCAGATTAACTTGATATAAATAAACTAATTTGAAATTTCTTACTGAGTGTATAAACGAGGACCCACACCCTAGCCCAAAGTCCTTCTGAAAACACACACTTAACTGCCAATTTCATTTAATTGTGTGAAACAGTTATAAATTGTATCCCATAATATGTTCCTGATTATTCCTAAAGGATTGAGTTTTCCAAATCCAAAAATGTTACCCTTTCTCCATCAACTGTGAGATGATGTGAAATGAATTATCTCCCTCCATTACGGAGGAATAAGATATGCTATGAATGCATGCAATAAGCCCTCACAGATCAGATACTCAAACCCTACACAGGGATTGAGCCAAAGTTCCCCAAAGTGGTAACAAGTACATTCCTATCTACTCAACTCAAAGGGTCTCAACTAGCTAGTCTACAAGCTAATATAGGACATCAGACTGGTTATTAGCTTGTACTTCAACTTGGAAATGCTCTAGTTGCTAATAATGAGCCAGGAAATAAACATATAAATGCTGAATAACCAAAAGTTAACTAAGATGTATAAGAACAGGTTTTGAGGTCCGGTAGGCCTGGGCTGAACTCCAGATTCTGCCACTTATTAGTTAAGCGCACTTAGTCAAGTCACAACTTCTCTAAATCTTAATTTCTTCAACTTCCTTCTCTACAAACAGGAATAACATGCTTACCCTAATTTTTGTCCAGGATTTATGAGAGGCCACAATAGATGTGAAAACACTTTGTTAATCATAAAATGCTTACAAATATTAGCAATTATTACAGTTTTATTACTTTTCTTGCTGTTGTTATTACTTCCCACTAGCCCCTGAGGTCTACCAAAGGTAGCACATGGGGAGTTCCCCTAAAAAATAGGCTGATTGTGCGGTCCAGTATGCTTTTAAAAGGAATAGGTACCATGAAGCTTCTAAATTATTTATTCATTCATTCATTCATTTAATAAATGTGTATTGAGTGCCCCAAGAATTCTTCAAATCATTCAATATTCAAAATGTATCCTCATTTACCTCTCACAGTGACCATTAGAAGCTCTTCCTTTGGGTTTAGCTGTGTGACATTTGGAGAGACATTTAAACTGAAAACCTGTTTCTTCATCTGTAAAATTAAGATGGCATCACTTATCCCACAACATAGGGTCAAATGAGATCAAGGCTATGAAAATGCAAAGTCACCAATATGGCACTCCAAATGTTCAAGAGTGCTACTGATAGACTTACCTTAACTACCTAAAAGTCCTAAGGATGATGTGGGAATTTAAGATTATCTTGAATGTATAAGCATTGTACTGAGCTACTGCTCTCTGTAGAATGTGTTTATGACAGTAGTTATTTCCATAAATACTCATAAAGCCAATGGAGTAAGGAGGCATCAAGGAAGTAAAGACATTTGGTATGTTTTAACTTTCTTTTCTAGTCACTAAATGTTTATATTTGTAAGCTGCATTGCTTTACTGTGATTACGAAATTGTTGTTGACTTAGTTGGAAATGTTCCTATAAATGATAGATTTTCCATTTATGAAAACTTGATTATCTAAAATTGAGAAAACAGAATTCAGCTGTAGATTAATTTCAGGATAAACTTTTAAAAATAGAATACATAAATGTGGGTCAACATTTACAAGTTATCAATTCTTTTTTTAACTAATAAACATTTCTTTTTTCAATCCCAAATACAGAAAGAAAATCTCACTTACATTAATTTTGAGTTTTCCTAGAAAAATATCACAGAACATCAGAGTTGGAAACAACTTTGATGGTGATCTAGCCATAAAAGTTGGATTGGGGAGGATGAGATTTAAATCACATCCATTTAAAAATATTTTAACCTATGAATGAGAAAATTCTGTGTAATATTTTCTTTTCCAGAAAAAAAATTGGGGGGGTTTTATTCACATTGTTCACAACATAAAGACAGATGATAAGACACCGAATATGTTTTTAAAACTATAAAATTAAAGGTATATTTCCATCCGGGTCAACAACAAAACTTTAAGTATTTTTCTTTTTTGTATTTTTCTTTCTTTTCTTTTTCTTCTTTCTTCGTGTGTGTGTGTGTGTGTGTGTGTGTGTGTTTGTGTGAGACGGAGTCTCGCTCTGTCACCCAGGCTGGAATGTAGTGGCGTGATCTAGGCTCACTGCAACCTCCACCTCCTGGGTTCACGCAATTCTCCTGCCTTAGCCTCCTGAGTAGCTAGGATTACAGGTGCTCACAACGCCTGGCTAATTTTGTATTTTAGTAGAGATGGGGTTTTGCTATGTCAGTCAGGCTGGTCTTGAGCTCCTGACCTCAGGTGATCCACATAATTTCTAAATAAAATTATCCAAATTCTCAAATGCTCATCTCCAGAAAGCCTTTCTGTCCTCCAATCCACATTGATATCTTACTCCAAATTTATACATAAGTATGATATTCATTATACAAACTCATACTGAAGTATTTACAATTTTATTTTGCTGTATAATAGTTTGTGTATGCTTAATTGTGCTTCTACAACTAGTCTACAAGCATATGACTTGCAATGATGGGGACTGGAGATGCTGTGGTGGAGACTGTTACTGATTGCAAAATTCATTTCTTATTCTACCTGGGCACACAAATAGACTTCATTTCTCAGTCCATTTGTGTCCATATGACTATTTCTCATTAATGGATTATAAGTTGAAAGAATATGTAATATTTCCAGTTTAAGGCTTTTAAGAAGTAGATGCATCTCCTCTTTTAATTGTTCTCCTCACACCAGTTAGATACAGATGATGATGACAGACTTTGGGAACAGTGGAGTCACTGAAATGGAAGATGGAAGAAGTCTAGAACCCTGAATCATCATGTAGAATGAATACTTACCTGTCTTGGACTGTTATATGACCAAGAAATAACTTTTGCTTATATTTGCACCATTATATATTTTGGAATTTATTTGTTACAGAAGTCAAGCCTATGTAAACCAATGCAGCTATGGTTACTTAAAGTTGGATTTTCTCTTAACAAAATGCTCAAACATGGGTCCACAGCTTAGCTATAAGGCAGTGTGAAAATTGACCTAGTGGGCTGGAAAAATTATTATGTCATAAAGTAACACCATCAACATTGAGAACTTGGAAGAATATCATGGGCCCAACTGAGCTGGTAACTCTAGTAGACATAGTTTAAAAATATATATTAATACACGTTGGTTGTTCCTTGCTGGTAATAATTAGATCAGATAATAATAGACCAGTTTTCAAGGAAAATTGAATGGAATAGAGCAAATGCAAGAAATTGAGGCACAGCAGGTTTGAAAAATCAGCTACCTTTGGACCTCAAATTTTGGAAGCAAGAATGTCCCAAGCTGCTGAAGACAAATGAATTATTCTGTGAATTGAGGAGAGATTTTGAAATGGGTAGGGAATCATCCAGAAACATGGTAAAGCAGCCATAGAGAACTAAGGAGTGCTTGATATCCAATTTTAAGTCATGTTCACTTCTGCAATTTTTAAAGAAATTTCTATTCTTCCATTAAGGCTGCATAATGTGTGTGTGTGTGTGTGTGTGTGTGTGTGTACATACACACACAGAAACACACAGTACTGTGTGGGAATGTATACATTTTCTTGGCGATATAAAGAAAAGTTAAGTTCCATAACAGGTATGACATAAAGCAGAAATAAAAGACCAGGTGAGGCCAGGCACAGTGGCTCAAGCCTGTAATCCCAGCACTTTGGGAGGTCGAGTTGGGTGGATCACCTGAAGTTGGGAGTTCGAGGCCAGCCTGACCAACATGGAGAAACCCCGTCTCTACTAAAAACAAAAATTAGCCAGGTGTGGTGGTGCATGCCTGTAATCCCAGCTACTTGGGAGGCTCAGACGGGAGAATCGCTTGAACCCGGGAGGCAGAAGTTGCAGTGAGCCGAGATCGCGCATTGCACTCCAGCCTGGGCAACAAGAGCAAAACTCCGTCTCAAAAACAAAACAAAACAGAAAAACAGGTAAGATGCATGGGAAACCAAAATCCTAACAAAGGAGGAACTGAGAGTCAAAATAAAGATATACAGAGAAGTACAGGATATGGTTCTTGGGCTGACACCTGGGTTATACAAGCAACCTCTGTCCAAGGTAAAGATTCCTGCATTACAGTTAACAAGTGTTTACTAACAATGCTAAGCTCTGTGTTTGAGCCTCACGATTTGTCAAATGAATGAGATATGGCATTTGAATCACAAGGGAAGGCACATCAACAAAGAAATGATTGATAATGAAAAGCTTAGAAGCAATAGAAGCTATTCACTTAAACCAACCTATGGTTTCAGAAGCAATGAAGCCATTCACTTAAACTGACCTTAGGGCTTCAGAGAAGGCTTCCTGGTTAGACAACTAAGTTATCTTGAAGGATAAATGCAAATAAGCCAGAGAAAGAAGGGTAGGAATGGCTTTTAAGACAAAGATAATCATATAAACTAAAGCAAGGAAGCATAAAATTACACCACGCATGTGGAGAACTAAAACTGTGTAAACATAGTCTAAAACTAAGGCAAAGAGGGCTAAGAAAAATGTCTGGAAAGGTTGGTAGTGGGTAAAGTCATGGAAAGTGCTAAATGCTATCATAAGATGCGTGGGCTTCATTTCATAAACAATGAGGATGCACTGAAGATTCTTATCTGATTCATTCTCTTCTGAATCTGAGCTATTGCTATTTTTTGGTTTGCCTCTATTGATTTTGACTCCATACTACTCCATAGATTTTTTTTCTCCACTCATAATAGAGCCTCTCTTATTTGCTCTGCCAGTAAGTAACCACCCTGATAAGTCACCCAACCTGTTACAGCTTCCTAAGCAAGACCCAGATAGAATATAGTGAGCAACTCAATATATTGTTTTCAAAACACTGAATGGTTCTAACTGACTCTATCTTCTTTACTGATACAAAAACTGTCATTTTCTTTTGTTTTTCTAAATAATATGCCCTCTTCTGTGATGTATTTTAAAGCATACATGAATATTCTGCATCATCCACTAAACAATCATGCATCTTATTTCTATTCCATGAAAACAGGAAGAAGGAATAGGACACAAGAAGAAGGAGTAGGAAGGGGACAAAAAATTTATGTTGTTGACATTTACCAAGTGCCTACTATGTAATAGGCATTTGATACATTACCTTATGTAATTTTCACAACCATTCTACAAGACAGTTCATTATTCCACATATTTTAAAATGAGAAAACAGAAGTTCAGAAAGGCTAAATGTGATGGGTAATTGTATGTGTCAATTTGGCTGGGTCACCGTGCCAAAATATGTGATCAAATCTTTACTCCGGATGTCTCTGTGATGGTGTTTTTGGATGAGATTAACATTTAAATTAACAGATTTTGATTAAAGCAGATTGCCCTCCATAATGTGGGTAGACCTCATCCAATCAGTTGAAGACTTGAATAGAACAAAAGACTGACCTCCTTGAGTAACAGGAAATTCTGCCAGCAGATGGCCTTCAGACCAACTGCAGAACTGGCTCTTCCCTGGATCTCTAACCTGCTGGCCCACTCTGCAGACTTGCCACCTTTCATAAACATGTGAGCCAATTCCTTAAAATAAATCTTCACTCACACATACACACACACACACACACACCTTTTTGGTTCTGTTTCTCTGGAGAACCCTGACAAACATACTAAAGAACTCAAACAAGGCCACCCATATAGTAAATAATAAAAAAAAACAAAACTTACAACCAGAACTGTTTGTTTCCAAAGCTAGGATTCCACTAGCTACACGATTTTCCATATAATAACTTTAAACACTATTATATTAAAAATGAAAACTAATTTACATAATATTTTAAAACTATTTTAATATTTGTGTAAATTGATAAGCTTAAAAAGTTGTTTTTTTCCTGTGTTGGAGCACTCTTCAGGAAAAATTATAAAAATTAATAAAAAACAAAAACCCTCTGTAATTGAAGTTTAGTGCACAGGGAAGTTTTTTAAAAAAAACAAGCAAAACATATTGGGAAGGAATTAACTAGTACATATGGGTATGAGCATTTGCTTCTAAATGTGGCAATGAAATCTGCCCTATGAGACATTCTTTCAACACATTTGTTTTAAACAAGTATGTTCTGCCATATTTAAGGGACATTTCAAATACAAACCTTCTGTGATTGATATGTAAATTATGAACAGAGTGACAAATCGAAGACTAAGATGAAGGCATTGAGTCAAGTTAACACATCTACACTTGGCTCCTTTAGGATATCTAATAGCTAAATATAAGAATGAGTTGATGACAAAGCAAGGAACCATATCAGGTTTTCATGATCTCCTCTTACATAATAACTGTATCCCTGTATAGACAAAGAAGGCAGAAATAGGAGAAGACAAGACTACAGAAAATTGTTTTTACTCATCCATGAAAGAAGAAGGCTTTAGGGTGAGTATAAACTTGCCAATTATTTTAGGACCCACCATTTTATGTTTAAGCAATTGTCATTTATTCATTTATCCATGGATGTTTTGTGCACCTATTAAGAGCTAGCCATTGTAAGAAAAGAAATCATGGTTCCTGCCCTCAAGAAGTTTATGCTTACAGGCACAGTGAAAAGCTATGTTCCACAAAAGAAATATTAGTAAAACTGAAATTGTAAACTGGAAGACGGAAAAGCCATATACAGCTGCAGATATCATAGGAGAAAGTAAGTTTGGGTACAGACTTTGAGGATAGATTTCAATAAAAGTTGAAAAAGAACATACCAAACAAAGAGAGTATCATAATTAACGTTAAAGACAATAAGGATTTGATATTGGTTAGCAGAATAAAAATGAAAATGCATACATGAGAAGGATCATACAGGTAGAGTATGAATTCTCAATGGGGGTGCTTTCATTTGGAGCAAAAACATTTTAGACTATTACAATGATTTGTTGCCCTCTGAAAATCACAGTACCTAAAGAGATATGCGGTATATCAGTAGCAATGAAATTTCAGGGAGCTGGGGGAGTAGGAAAAAATACCCAAAAAGTAGAGTAATAATAAAAAAATCAGTTAAAAACATTAAGATGGAGTAAAAGGATTTAATAAGAAATTAGATGGGGTGACAAAGAAAAGCAAAAGCTGACTCTAGAATGACTAGAAAGCTATTAGAATTTTTGAAATTAAAAAAAAGTTTTAAGGTCAAAAGGGCTCTTCTGTTTTGAAGTTAAAACATAAGTTTGGTTTGGAAAGCTGTCCATTTTAAAATATCAATACACATCTAGATACAGACACAATCGGATAGTTTAAAATATAGAATCACTACCTTGAAGAGAGTTCAAGGCTGATGATACTTTCCAAGGCAGTGTTATTCAAAATTTGGTCCATAGATTGATGCTGGTCTGCAATGTGTTTGTTGTACATTGCTACCAATTAAGTACAGTATGATACTTTTACAGTCATTTGACATCCAAACTTATGATTGGTTTACTTATCTAGTTCAATAGGGTGTAAATAAATTTAAATGTTGACAAACTCATGTGGCAAATTGCACCTGGCATGAGCATCATACAAGTCATGCACAGTAGGATCATATAGAGAGCCATGACAGACTGGGGAGAAATAAAGTTGGTTCTTGACCACACATAGTTCTGAGAAGCGTTTTACCAGGGCTTAATTATGTAGAGCTTATTACTTAATGAAACTGTATTCCATCATTTCTAAGATAGCAGGGACACTAGTAAAATGTCTAACAAAGAGTAAGTACTCAATAAATCAAACAAGCTTCTAATTTTTAGACAAAATGTTATAATATGTGCATAATTGCATTTTTATTGGAAGGGAGTTCATAGCTTTCATTAGATTCTTATGAACAGATGCCTGTTACCTAACAAAGGCTAATAACCAATGCAGTAAAAAAAAAAACAACTCATTACTACTATTATCTTTGTACCTTCAGTATCTGCACATAATTTCATTCATCCATTTAACAAATAATTATTGAATGCCTACTCTATGTTAGGCTCTGGAGATAGAGCAAATAGACAAAGTAACTATTCTTATTGTAAGAAAGGCAGATAAACAAATAAAAAAGCAAGTAGCATATGAAAACAAAATGCTATAAAAGAGAAACTGGGTAGCTGCTTTGGATCATCACAGAAGGCCTCTCTGAGGAAGCAATATTTAAGCTGAAATCTGAATACCAAGAAGTAAAGATGGTGTGGGGGAGGTGATCAGAATTCCAGAAAAAAAAATTTGGCTGAATCAAACAGCCTAAAAACAAATATGGCCTGCTCTGGAAACAGGCAGAAAGTCACTATGGCTACAGCATTATTGGGAAGAGTAAGAATGTCATGAGGTGAAGTCAGAAAAGTAGTCAAGGGCCAGACCAAGTAGTCACTGATCACTTTGTAGTCAGGATAAGAAGTTCACATTATATTCTAACTCTGATGGGAAGCCAATGAAGGTTTAAAATAGGGAAAGAATGAGATGTGATTTGAATATTTAAGAATATTTCTGGGTACTGTGTAAAGAATAGATAATGGGGGAGAAGAAACTTGAGTGAAAGGAAGCAAGAGGCCAGCCGCGGTGGCTCACGCCTGTAATTCCAGTATTTTGGAAGGCCGAGGCGGGCGGATCACGAGGTCAGGAGATCAAGACCATCCTGGCTAACACGGTGAAACCCGTCTCTACTAAAAATACAAAAAATTGGCCGGGCGCGGTGGCAGACACCTGTAGTCCCAGCTACTCGGGAGGCTGAGGCAGGAGAATGGCGTGAACCCGGGAGGCGGAGCTTGCAGTCAGCCAAGATAGCGCCACTGCAGTCCAGCCTGGACGAAAGAGTGAGACTCCGTCTCAAAAAAAAAAAAAGAAAGAAAGAAAGAAAGGAAGCAAGAGCAACATATGTTAACTGCTTGAATAAGGGAGGCAGACAGAAAATAAATTAATGGATTCAGGATATTTAAGCACAATAATAATTCTTAATGGACGGATGGATGAATGGATGGATGGATGGATTATGAACTATTAGATATGTACTCAAGATTTATAAAGATTAAAGATACGTAAGCTGAACCTTGGAAAATGCCTTATAGGTCATGTGTGGAGGAAAACAAGATAGGTCAGTCCGAGACAGGGGGAGAATGAAGATGTTGTAATCACAGCTGCCAGGGTAAGACAGTATTGGAAAGTAAGAGTAATCATTAGAAATGTCATGTTGCACAGGAATCAAAAACTAAAACAAAACTATCAAATTACATCAGTATGCCCCTGGCAACCCTTCAAAGAACAATCTTGCTGGAGTGGCCAGGATACAAATCAGACTATAAAAAATAAAGATGTAATGGTATATAGTGACATTTCCATTTTTACTGGAAATCTTTCCAAAATCATCTCACACATAATTAAATCTTATTATTATTATAATTTAAGTTCCGGAAAACATGTGCGGAACGGTGCAGGTTTGTTACACATTTATACATGTGCCACGGTGGTTTGATGTACCCATCAACTCATCATGTATATTAGGTATTTCTCCCAATGCTATCCCTCCCCTAGGCCCACACCCCCTCAACAGGCCCTGGTGTGTGATGATCCCTCCCTGAGGCCATGTGTTCTCATTGTTCAACTCCCACTAATGAGTGAAAATATGCACTGTTTGCTTTTCTCTTCTTGTGTTAGTTTGCTGAGAATGATGGTTTCCAGCTTCATCCATGTCCCTGCAAAGGACATGAATTCACCATTTTTTATGTCTGCATAGTATTCCATGGTGTATATGTGCACATTTTCTTTATCCAGCCTATCATTAGTGGGCATTTGGGTTAGTTCCAAGTCTTTGCTATTGTGAACAGTGCTGCAATAAACATACATGTGCATGTGTCTTTACAGCAGAATGATTTATAATCCTTTGGGTATATAACCAGTAGTGGGATTGCTGGGTCCAATGGTATTTCTGGTTCTAGATCCTTGAGGAATCACCACACTGTCTTCCACAATGGTTGAACTAATTTACACTCCCACCAACAGTGTAAAAGTGTTCCTATTTCTCCGCATCCTCTCCAGCATGTTATCTCCTGACTTTTTAATGATCACCATTCTAACTGCCATGATGTGGTATCTCATTATGGTTTTGATTTGCATTTCTCTAATGACCAGTGACGATGAGCTTTTTTTACATATATTAGTTGGCTACACAAATGTCTCCTTTTAAGAGGTGTCTCTTCATATCCTTCACTCACTTGCTCATGGGGTTGTTTTTTCTTATAAATTTAAGTTCTTTGTAGATTCTGGATATTAGCCCTTTATCAGATGGATAGAACGCAAAATTTTTCTCCAATTTTGTGAGTTGCCTGTTCACTCTGATGATAGTTTCCTTTGCTGTGCAGAAGCTCTTTAGTTTAATTAGATCCCATTTGTCAATTTTGGCTTTTGTTGCCATTGCTTTTGGTGTTTCAGTCATGAAGTCTTTGCCCATGCCTATGTCCTGAATGGTATTGCCTAGGTTTTCTTCTAGGGTTTGTATGGTTTTAGGTCTTACATTTAAGTCTTTAATCCTTCATGAGTTAATTTTTGTATAAGGTGTAAGGAAGGGGTCCAGTTTCAGTTTTCTGCATATGGCTAGTCAGTTTTCCTAACACCATTTATTAAATAGGGAATCCTTTCCCCATTGCTTGTTTTTCTCAGGTTTGTCAAAGATCAGATGGTTGTAGATGTGTGGTGTTATTTCTGAGGCCTCTGTTCTGTTCTATTGCTCTATATATCTGTTTTGGTACCAGTGCCATGCTGTTTCGGTTATTGTAGCTTTGTAATATATTTTGAAGTCAGGTAGCTTGATGCTTCCAGCTTTGTTCTTTTTGCTTGGGATTGTCTTGGCTATGCAGACTTTTTTTTGGTTCCAAATGAAATTTAAAGTAGTTTTTTCTAATTCTGTGAAGAAAGTCAATGGTAGTTTGATGGGGATAGCACTGAATCTATAAATTACTTTGGGCAGTATGGCCATTTTCACAATACTGATTCTTCCTATCCATGAGCATGGAATGTCTTCCCATTCGTTTGTGTCCTCTCTTATTTCCTTGAGCAGTGGTTTGTAGTTCTCCTTGAAGAGGTCCTTCACATCCCTTGTAAGTTGTATTCCTAGGTATTTTGTTCTCTTTGTAGCAATTGTGAATGGGAGTTCACTTATGATTTGGCTCTCTGTTTGTCTATTATTGGTGTATAGGAACACTTGTGATTTTTGCATATTGATTTTGTATCCTGAGACTTTGCTGAAGTTGCTTCAGCAAACTAAGGAGATTTGGGGCTGACACAATGGGGTTTTCTAAATATACAATCATGTCAATATGCAAATAGAGACAATTAGACTTCCTCTCTTCATATTTGAATACCCTTTATTTCTTTCTCTTGCCTAATTGCCCTGGCCAGAACTTCCAATAATATGTTGAATAGGAGTGGTGAGAGAAGGCATCCTTGTCCTGTACTGGTTTCAAAGGGAATTCTTCCAGCATTTGCCCATTCAGTATGATACTGGCTGTGGGTTTGTCATAAATAGCTCTTACTGTTTTGAGATATGTTCCATCAATACCTGGTTTATTGAGAGTTTTTAGCATTAAGGGGTGTTGAATTTTATCAAAGACCTTTTCTGCATCTATGGAGATAATTGTGGCTGTTGTCATTGGTTCTGTTTATGTGATGAATTACATTTATTAATTTGCATATGTTGAACCAGCCTTGCATCTCAGGGATGAAGCTGACTAGATCGTGGTGGATAAGCTTTTTTTTTTTAATTTTATTTTATTATTATTATACTTTAACTTTTAGGGTACATGTGCACAATGTGCAGGTTAGTTACATATGTATACACGTGCCATGCTGGTGTGCTGCACCCATTAACTCGTCATTTAGCATTAGATATATCTCCTAATGCTATCCCTCCCCCCTTCCCCCACCCCACAGCAGTCCCCAGAGTGTGATGCTCCCCTTCCTGTGTCCATGTGTTCTCATTGTTCAATTCCCACCTATGAGTGAGAATATGTGGTGTTTGGTTTTTTGTTCTTGCGATAGTTTACTGAGAATGATGATTTCCAATTTCATCCATGTCCCTACAAAGGACATGAACTCATCATTTTTTATGGCTGCATAGTATTCCATGGTGTATATGTGCCACATTTTCTTAATCCAGTCTATCATTGTTGGACATTTGGCTTGGTTCCAAGTCTTTGCTATTGTGAATAGTGCCACAATAAACATACGTGTGCATGTGTCTTTATAGCAGCATGATTTATAGTCATTTGGGTATATACCCAGTAATGGGATGGCTGGGTCAAATGGTATTTCTAGTTCTAGATCCCTGAGGAATCGCCACACCGACTTCCACAATGGTTGAACTAGTTTACAGTCCCACCAAGAGTGTAAAAGTGTTCCTATTTCTCCACATCCTCTCCAGCACCTGTTGTTTCCTGACTTTTTAATGATTGCCATTCTAACTGGTGTGAGATGGTATCTCATTGTGGTTTTGATTTGCATTTCTCTGATAGCCAATGATGGTGAGCATTTTTTCATGTGTTTTTTGGCTGCATAAATGTCTTCTTTTGAGAAGTGTCTGTTCATGTCCTTTGCCCACTTTTTGATGGGGTTGTTTTTTTCTTATAAATTTGTTTGAGTTCATTGTAGATTCTGGATATTAGCCCTTTGTCAGATGAGTAGGTTGTGAAAATTTTCTCCCATGTTGTAGGTTGCCTGTTCACTCTGATGGTAGTTTCTTTTGCTGTGCAGAAGCTCTTTAGTTTAATTAGATCCCATTTGTCAATTTTGGCTTTTGTTGCCATTGCTTTTGGTGTTTTAGACATGAAGTCCTTGCCCGTGCCTATGTCCTGAATGGTAATGCCTAGGTTTTCTTCTAGGGTTTTTATGGTTTTAGGTCTAAGGTTTAAGTCTTTAATCCATCTTGAATTAATTTTTGTATAAGGTGTAAGGAAGGGATCCAATTTCAGCTTTCTACATATGGCTAGCCAGTTTTCCAAGCACCATTTATTTAATAGGGAATCCTTTCCCCATTGCTTGTTTTTCTCAGGTTTGTCAAAGATCAGATAGTTGTAGATATGCGGCGTTATTTCTGAGGGCTCTGTTCTGTTCCATTGATCTATATCTCTGTTTTGGTACCAGTACCATGCTGTTTTGGTTACTGTAGCCTTGTAGTATAGTTTGAAGTCAGGTAGCATGATGCCTCCAGCTTTGTTCTTTGGCTTAGGATTGACTTGGCGATGCGGGCTCTTTTTTGGTGCCATATGAACTTTAAAGTAGTTTTTTCCAATTCTGTGAAGAAAGTCATTGGTAGCTTGATGGGGATGGCATTGAATCTGTAAATTACCTTGGGCAGTATGGCCATTTTCACGATATTGATTCTTCCTACCCATGAGCATGGAATGTTCTTCCATTTCTTTGTATCTTCTTTAATTTCATTGAGCAGTGGTTTGTAGTTCTCCTTGAAGAGGTCCTTCACGTCCGTTGTAAGTTGGATTCCTAGGTATTTTATTCTCTTTGAAGCAATTGTGAATGGGAGTTCACTCATGATTTGGCTCTCTGTTTGTCTGTTATTGGTGTATAAGAATGCTTGTGATTTTTGTACATTGATTTTGTATCCTGAGACTCTGCTGAAGTTGCTTATCAGCTTAAGGAGATTTTGGGCTGAGACAATGGGGTTTTCTAGATATACAATCATGTCATCTGCAAACAGGGACAATTTGACTTCCTCTTTGTGCCTCTGGATTCAGTTTGCTAGGATTTTATTGAGGATTTTCGCATCGATGTTCATCAGGGATATTGGCCTGAAATTTTCTTTCTTTGTTGTGTCTCTGCCAGGTTTTGGTATCAGGATTATGATGACCTGATAAAATGAGTTAAGAAGGAGTCCTTCTTTTTCTATCGTTTGGAATAGTTTCAGAAGGAATGGTACCAGCTACTCTTTGTACCTCTGGTAGAATTCAGCAGTGAATCTGTCTGTTCCTAGGTTTTTTTGGTTGGTACATTATTAATTATTGCCTCAATTTCAGAACCTCTTATTGGTCTATTCAGGGATTCAACTTCCTCCTGGTTTAGTCTTGGGAGGGTGTATGTGTCCAGGAATTTATCCATTTCTTCTAGATATTCTAATTTATTTGCGAAGAAGTGTTTATGGTATTCTCAGATGGTAGTTTGTATTTCTGTGGGATCTGTGGTGATATCCCCTTTATCATTTATTATTGTGTCTATTTGATTCGTCTTGCTTTTCTTCTTTATTAGTCTGGCTAGATGTCTACCTATTCTGTTAATCTTTTTAAAAAATCAGTTCATGGATTCATTGAAGGGTTTTTTGTGTCTTGATCTCCTTCAGTTCTGCTCTGATCTTAGTTATTTCTTGTCTTCTGTTAGCTTTTAAATGTTTTCTTTTGATTCTCTAGTTCTTTTAATTGTTATGTTAGGTGTCAATTTTAGATCTTTCCCACTTTCTTCTGTGGGCATTTAGTGGTATAAATTTCCCTCTAAACACTGCTTTAACTGTGTCTTGGAGATTCTGGTACATTATCTCTTTTTTCTCATTGGTTTCAAAGAACTTATTTATTTCTGCCTTAATTTCATTATTTACTCAGTAGTCATTCAGGAGCAGGTTGTTCAGTTTCCATATAGCTGTGTGGTTTTGAGTGAGTTTCTTAATCCTGAGTTCTAATTTGATTACACTGTGGTTTGAGAGAATGTTTGTTATAATTTCCATTCTTTTGCATTTGCTGAGGAATGTTTTACTTCCAATTATGTGGTCAATTTTATAACAAGTGTGATATGGTGCTGAGAAGAATGTATATTCTATTGATTTGGGGTGGAGAGTTCTGTCGATGTCTATTAGGTCCACTTGGTCAAGAGCTGAGTTCAAGTCCTGAATATCCTTGTTAATTTTCTGTCTGTTGATCTGTCTAATATTGACAGTGAGGTGTTGAAGGCTCCCACTATTATTGTGTGGGAGGCTACATCTCTTTGTAGGTCTCTAAGAACTTGCTTCATGAATCTGGGTGCTCCTATATTGGGTGCATATGTATTTAGGATAGTTAGCTCTTCTTGTTGCATTGATCCCTTTACCATTATGTATTACCCTTCTTTGTCTTTTTTGATCTTTGTTGGTTTAAAGTCTGTTTTATCTGAGACTGGGATTGCAACCCCTGCTTTTTTTTCCTATCCATTTGCTTGGTAAATATTCCTCCATCCCTTTATTTTGAGCCTATGTGTGTCTTTGCATGTGAGACGGGTCTCCTGAATACAGCACACTGATGGGTGTTGACTCTTTATCCAACTTGCCAGTCTGTGTCTTTTAATTGAGACATTTAGCCCATTTGCATTTAAGGCTAACATTGCTATGTGTGAGGTTGATCCTGTCATTATGATGCTACCTGGTTATTTTGCCCATTAGTTGATGCAGTTTCTTCATAGTGTCAATGGTCTTCACAATTTGGTATGTTTTTGCAGTGGCTGGTACCAGTTTTTCCTTTCCATATTTAGTGCTTCCTTCATGAGCTCTTGTAAGGCAGGCCTGGTGGTGACAAAATCTCTCAGCATTTGCTTATCTGTAGAGGATTTTATTTCTCCTTCACTTATGAAGCTTAGTTTGACTGGATATGAAATTCTGGGTTAAAAATTCTTTTCTTTAAGAATGTTGAATATTGGCCCCCACCCTCTTCTGGTTCTGGCTTCTAGGATTTCTGCAGAGAGATCTGCTGTTAGTTTGATGGGCTTCCCTCTGTGGGTAACCCAACCTTTCTCTCTGGCTGCCCTTAACATTTTTTCCTTTATTTCAACCTTAGTAAATCTGACGATTATGTTTCTTGGGGTTGCTCTTCTCGAGGGGTATCTTTGTGGTGTTCTCTGTATTTCCTAATTTGAATACTGGCCTGTCTTGCTAGGTTGGGAAGTTCTCCTGGATAATATCCTGAAGTGTGTTTTCCAACTTGGTTCCATTCTCCCCATCACTTTCAGGTATACCAATCAAACATAGGTTTGGTCTTTTCACATAGTCCCATGTTTCTTGGAGGCTTTGTTCATTCCTTTTCATTCTTTTTCTCTAATATTGTCTTCATGGTTTATTTCATTAAGTTGATCTTCAATCTCTGATATTCTTTTTCCGCTTGATCAATTCATCTATTGATACTTGTGTATGCTTCACAAAGTTCTCGTCCTGTGTTTTTCAGCTCCATCAGGTCATTTATGTTCTTCTCTAAACTGATTATTCTACTTAGCAATTCCTCTGTCCTTTTTGCAAGAGTCTTAGCTTCCTTGCATTGGGTTAGAACATGCTCCTTTAGCTCAGAGGAGTTTATTATTACCCACCTTCTGAAGCCTACTTCTGTCAATTCATCAAACTCATTCTCTGTCTAGTTTTGTTCCCTTGCTGGCGAGGAGTTATGATCCTTTGGAGGAGAAGAGGTGTTCTGGTTTTTGGAATTTTCAGCCTTTTTACACTGGTTTTTCCTCATCTTCGTGTATTTATATACCTTTGGTCTTTGACGTTGGTGACCTTCGGATGGGGTTGTTGTGTGGATGTCCTTTTTGTTGATGTTGATGCTATTCCTTTCTGTTTGTTAGTTTTCCTTTTAACAGTCAGGCCCCTCTGCTATAGGTCTGCTAGAGTTTGCTGAAGGTCCATTCCAGACCCATTTGCCTGAGTATCACCAGCGGAGGCTGCAGAACAGCTAAGATTGCTGCTTGCTCTTTCCTCAGGAAGCTTCGTTCCAGAGAGGCACCTGCCAGATGCCAAACGGAGCTCTCCTGTATGAGGTGTCTCCCCATCAGGAGTCATGGGTGTCAGGAACTTACTTGAGGAGGCAGTCTGCCCCTTAGCAGAGCTCAAGCACTGTGCTGGAGGATCCACTGCTATCTTCAGAGCCTGCAAGCAGGAACGTTTGAGTCTGTTGAAGCTGCGCCCACAGCCGCCCCTTCCCCCCAGGTGCTCTGTCCAAGGGAGATGGGAGTTTTATCTATAAGCCCCTGACTGGGACTTCGGCCTTTCTTTCAGAGATGCCCTGCCCAGAGAGGAGGATTCTAGAGATGCAGTCTGGCTATAGCCACTTTGCTGAGCTGCGACTGGCTCCAACCAGTTCAAACTTCCTGGCAGCTTTGTTTATACTGTGAGGGGACCAGAACCCTCTTTCCAAAATCTGTGTAGCCCTTAAGTCTGTATACATAAACTCCATTTTAAAATGTTAAAAACTGGTCATGAACACAATTCACCAAGGTGGTATGAAATAATTAAGCATGACCTAGTTCAGTAAATTGCAAGGTTGGCAACACACTGCTCCACTAGTGTCAACTATGACAATTAAAACAGAGCTTCTCCTGGCCAGATGCAGTGGCTCACACCTGTAATCCCAGCACTTTGGGAGGCCAAGGCGGGTGGATCACGAGGTCAGGAGATCGGACCATCCTGGCTAACACAGTGAAACCCCGTCTCTACTAAAAATACAAAAAATTAGCCAAGTGTGGTGGCAGGCACCTGTAGTTCCAGCTACTCGGGAGGCTGAGGCAGGAGAATGGCGTGAACCTGAGAGGCAGAGCTTGCAGTAAGCTGAGATCGTGCCACTGCACTCCAGCCTGGGCGACAGAGTAAGACTCCATCTCAAAACAAACAAACAAAAAAACAGCTTCTCCTAAGGTTCAGCAAATCATGCCAACTACTATAGCCCTGAGCTATTGGAAGCAGAAGGTGGTGAGTGAAGATCCAACCCCACCATTTATAGTAACCCCAGGGAATCAATGAGAAAGGTTTCTTGCCCTCAACATTCAGGAATGAATCAAAAATGGGTCAGTGAAAGAGCTCGTGCCAGGTAGTTCAATAAAAGGAATTTACTATGGGAAACTAGTTGCTCAACTATTGGGAAAGCCAAAAGGCCAAATGGGGAGAGTGGGAAAAAATAACACAGAGATTAACAACAGTGAGAAGTGTCTAGTGTACTCATAGACAAAAGGGCAAAGACAAAAGCTATTGATATCCTGAGAGCTCCGGCTATCCAACAATGATGATATCACAAGAAAGGAGTTGTTTGGCAAAACCATGAATGTAGGTGTAGCCACTGCTGGAGATGCCACCCAAAGGAGAAAGAAAAAGAAATACCTAGGCTTCTTCCTTCTTCCTGCCCTACAGACACCTGCAAGAGGTTCCTCTTAGCTGAGGTAGCTAGAAGCCAGTTGACAACGAAGCCTGGGAAATGCGATTTTCAGAATTTTGTCCCTAACACTACAGAGCAAAGGTGGAAAATGGAATTAATTGCAAATAGTCAAATGACCTGCACAAGATATTCCTAAACCTTCAGATGCCAACTCAATTTGAAAGCTGTATGATAACCCATAATTTGTACAGATTTTTCAATACTGAAGTATATTATAAAAATATTATTATTTTATGGAGCATGAAGAATAAAAACATAGATAACATTCTAGTTTGCTAGTTAATATTTCTTCAAGTGTTATTTACAAATGGGAAGAAGCAATAACAGTAAGTAAAAAGTAAATTTTAACTGAAAATTATCATGTTCTGGTTATCACTAGAAAAATTATGTCTTAGAATTTACACTAATACATACACATACTATAATCATTCTAGTGGTACCTTAAATTGTTATTTAAAAAAAACTCAACCATATTTAATAAGATGATGTGTCTCCTTTTGTGATTATTTTACTACTAAAGCATAAGAGGGTGGTTTATGTGCATCGTAAGTCCCCTTCAAAGCTGTTTCTCAGATTACTTGAAAAGAGCAGTTGAAGAGGCATGCAAACAGGTTTCAATATGCCCAATTCATATTTCTTCAATTGTGCTTTCCAAGGCCTTTAAGTTTAGCTGTTACTATAGAAAATACCATCATTCTTAGAGGAAAATTATTTGGGAATGAAATATTTCAATTCCTCCTTGTTAAGAAAGCAGAGAAAATAGGAAAGAAAAATATATACCAGTAGATACATAACTGTTATATCAAAATATAATTCAGTAAGGAGGTCAGTAATCTTATAAACAAATTAAAACTATATTATAATAGAAGTTCAGATTTGTTTCAATTATGAGTCAGAAACAAGGAACAGAATTAAATTTTTGGTCTACAGTTACAGAGTTACCAATATTTCTCCAGCAGAATTTCTAGACATAGTGAAACTCTCCTTTATATTTAATAACCATGCTTTTTTCCTCCTAAATGTCCTATTTTTTCTCTAAATGAGATAATGGCCTTATAAGGTGGCATGTTCTGGCATAAAGTAACAGTATTAGTAAAAATGAAATTTCTATCAGATCTCATGTTAAAGAGGTCATCAAATGAAAGCATTTGGATTTTATCCTGAAAACAATGGGGAGCCATGACAGATTTTGAGGAATAATGTAATATAATCAGATTATTTGCATTTTAACTTTGGTTGCATAGTGGAGCATGGACCAGAGAGAGGTGGAGTAGTTAGAAAGCTGTTGTACAAGTCCAAGGGGACCCATGTTGAGGACCTTATATAGGATAGAAGCTACAGGGTTAAAACAGTTGTGAGATATTATCCTCATACATTTAGGTGTTGTGATATATTACAATCATCCATTTAATTACAAAAAGAGGGAAACAAGAATGCATTGTACAATACTTTCTCCTATTATAATTCTATGAGGGAAATTCCACGAGGGACAAGAAGCTAAACCCACTGGTCAGGACAAAAATTTTGGGGTAGTAAAACAAACAGGGCAGCAATACATATAATTCAGGAGGATCCACAAGACAGAGCTGTGATAAAGGGTGAGATTATAGAGAGGAACCCAACAAACAGGGAGATACACACAAGCCAGATTCAGAGTGTGGACATAGGTACATTTGGTAGAATTTGGCTATAAATATGTCTGGTCCAGGGTTTTTTTTTGGTTGGTAGTCTTTTTATTATTGATTCAGTTTCAGAACTCAATATTGGTCTATTCAGAATTTCAATCTCTTTCTGATTCAATCTTGGGACATAGTGTGCTTCCAGGAATTTAACCATTTACTCTGCACTTTCTAATTGGTTTACATAAAGTTGTTCATAGTAGTCTCTGGGGATTTTTGTATTTCTGTGGGAATAGTTGTAATGTTGTATTTGTCATTCCTGATTGTACTTAAGTGGATATTTTTTTCTTTGTTTATCTAGCTAGCAGTCTATCGATCTTGTTTACTCTTTCAAAAAATGAACCCATGGTTTCATTGATGGTTTGTATAGATTTAATAACTAGTATCAATCCTAGTGAAACTATTCCAAAAAACTGAGAAGGAGGGACTCCTCCCTAACTCATTCTATGAAGCCACTCTCAGCCTAGTACCAAAAACTGGCACAGACATGACAAAGAAAGGAAACTTCAGGTCAATATCGCCAATGAATGCAGACACAAAAATTCTCAACAAAATACTAGAAAACTGAATCCAACAGCCCATCAAAAAGCTAATTCACCACAATCAAGCAGGCTTTATTCCCAGGATGAAGTCAATAAGTGTTATCTACCACATGAACAGAATTAAAAGCAAAAATCATATGACCATCTCAATAGAGAAAGAAAAAGTTTTCCATAAAATCCAATATCCCTTCATGATAAAAACCCTCAACAGGCAGACTTGTTATCAAACAGACATACCTCAACATAATAAGAGCCGTCTCTGGCAAACCTATAGCCAACACCATACTGAATAGGAATAAGCCGGAAGCATTCACATTAAGAAATGGAACAAGACAAGGATGCCCACTCTCACCACTCTTATTTTACATAGTACTAGAAGTCCTAGCCAAAGCAGTCAGGCAAGAGAAAGCAATAAGAGGCATCCAAACAGGAACAGAAGAAATTAAACTATGTTTTGTCACTTGCAATATGACTGTATACTTAGAAAACCCTAGAGACTCCAGCAAAGGGCTCTTAAACCTGACAAACTATTTTATCAAGGTTTCACAATATCAACATACAAAAATCAGTAGCATCTCTATAAACCAATAAGCATCCAGAATGGGAATCAAATCCAGAACACAATTCCATTTATTATACACTAGCCACAAAAAAATGAAATACACAGGACTACAGCTTAAACAACTGGTTAACTGAGGCAACTACAAAACACTGCTGAAAGAAATCAGAGATGACACAAATAAATGGAAAGACATACCATGCTCATTGATTGGAACAATCAGTATCATTAACATGGCCATACTGTCCAAAACAACTTACAAATTCAATGTTATTTCAACCAAATTACCAACATCATTTTTCACAGAATTAGAAAAAAATCATAAAATTCATATGGAACCAAAAAAGAGTCCAAATACCCAAAGTAATCCTAAGAAAAAAGAACAAGGCTGGAGAAATCATACTATCTAACTTCAAACTATACTCTAAGGCTACAGTAACCGAAACAGTATGGTGCTGGTACTAAAACGGACACAGAGATCAATGGAACAGAATAGAAAATAGAGGCAGAAGAAATTTCTAAGCGGCAAAGCATACAAGAGGTGACTTGGGTGCTGTTAAAGGCATTCAGTTTTATAAGGGAAGCAGAGCATAAAAGTTCAGAAAATTTGCAGTCTGACAATGTGATAAAAAAAAAAAAAAATCCCACCGGCACCACGGCCTTTGTCTCACAGTCAGGCGGAGCAGGGGCAGCCATTCCTGCCAGAAGCCAGGGCATGACCCCTGGGCTGCCTGTCTCCACAGACCCAGTGAGAATCTCGGCCTCCTCGAGCGTGTCCTCCACCTCGTACCTGGCCTCGTCCTTGCACACAGTCTCCTCCTCACACCCGGCCTCCTCTTTGCACCCAGCCCATATTCACGTGCAGCCTCCTCCTTGTGCCCAGCCTCTACTCATGCCTGCCCTCTACCTGCATGCCCGACCTCCTGAAGTCCGCGCCAAGCTCCCCAACCACAGCCTCTGCCTCTGAAAGGACCACCCACACTGCATTGGAGGAGCATGTGACCTTTGAGGACATGGTGGTGGACTTCAGCCAGGAGGAGTGGAGGCAGCTGGAGCCTGCCCAGAGGGCCCTGTACTATGATGTAATGCTGGACGCCTTCAGGCTTCTGGTCTCTGTAGGACATTGGTTACCAAAGCCAAACATCACCTCCCTGCTGGAGCAAGAGGCAGAGCCATGGGCGGTGGACTCTGGAGTTCCCCAAGGCATGTACCCAGGTGAGATGGGAGCCCTTCAGGGCTGAGAGAAGCCTGTCCATGCTTGCTCCCTGGTTTCTCTGTCTGCATGTGCTCTCTAATTCTTCAGAGCAAATTTACTACTCAGTCTTAATTCTTCACAGCAAATTTACTACTCAGTCTTAGTGAAGATTTACCAAGCACCCATTTTGCTGTGAGTGACGACACCAAGTCCTCATCTCCACTGAATTTACATTCTTGGTGAGGGAGTGGGGGAGACAAACAATAAATCGGTAAAATAATAATAATAATAAAATGAGTTGGATGATTACAGATTGTGATGAATGCTGAGAAAATGAAAATGAGTGATGAGGTAGACTAGGATGGGGGTGAGGAGACTTTAGCAGAGAGATGAGGGATAGCCTCTCTAAGGAGGTGACATGTGACTTGAAGCCTGAGCCATGAGGCAGTCTGAGAGAATACTAGCATTTCAGGCAGAGGAAACAGCAGGTGCAAAGGCCTGAAGTGATGCATCAGTCAGTTCTCGCATAGTAAAAGCACTCTGACCTCAGTGGCTTAAACCAAATAATTGTTTATAATTCATATGTCTGTGGGACAATGGATCCAGGCTGGGCCCTGACATGTGCCTGTAGGGTGATTGATAGGTAGCAGAGATATCCCAGCCCACTGACAGGCAATTTCCCATTGGCATCAGGTGGGAAGAGTGGCCTGTCACCAGAGTCCAGGAGGAATGGCCAATGTGGGAGAGGGTCACATTAGGGTCCCTCCACATCAATAACAGACGGGGTGTTGCTCTCTTGCCCAGGCTAGAGTGCAGTGGTATGAGCATGGTTCACAGCAACCTCGACCTTCTGGGCTCGGGTGATCCTCCTGCCTCGGCCTCCTGAGTAGCTGGGACTGCAGGTGTGTGTCACCATGCCTAGCTAATTTTGTGTGTGTGTGTGTGTGTGTGTGTGGAGATGGGGACTCAGCATTTTGCCCAGGCATGTCTTGAACTCCCAGGCTCAGGCAGTCCTCCTGCCATGGCTGCCCAAAGTGTTAAGATTACAGGCATGAGGCCCTGTGCCTGGCTAAGAATCCATTTATTTGCATTTTTCAGCTTCTAGAGGCACCCACATTCCTTGGCTATGGCCTTGTCCATCTTCACAGTCAGTAAGGGGTGGTCAAGTCTCACATCTTATTCACTCTGACTGTGACCCTTCTGCCTCTTTTCCACATTTAAGGACACTTGTGATTACACAGGTCCACTCAGATAATCCAGTATAATTTCTCTATCTTAATGTCAGCTGATTAGCAATGTTAATTCCTCCCTCCCATGTAATGGGAAACATACAGGTTCTATGGTTAAGATGTGGGCATCTTGGGAAGCCACTATTCTGCCAGTCACCCCTGGCTTACCTTTTTTTTAAAAATTGAACTTTTCACTGAAGTATAACAATATGGGGAAGGTACCCACATCACCCCTCTAGGCCACTGTGGGGTCAGGGTAGGGGCAGCATGCACCCAGGTCATGGCTGTGCAGAGATGGCTGGGTAGCAGGGCAAAAAGGGAGTCCTGCCAGGAAGCAGGAGGAAGGAGTGCATTTGTTCATTCATTAAGCATGTATATTGAGGTCTTGCTATGGGATAGAGATACAGTGGTGAGCAAGGTGGACAGAAACTCCTACTCTCAGGGGGTTCCCATTTAGTGAAACAGACAAAATAAGGCAGATCAAAGTACTTTAATACACCAAGGGTCATTTATCTTCCTCCTAGTGATGCATGTTGCAGCTATTCCTGTTTGTGGGAAGCAGATAGGCTCCTTTACATCTAGAGTGAGATGGCACAACAGCATATGCTGCCAGGAAGAAGCTGGGTGTCAGCAGACTTTCCCCATGCAGCACCTTTTTCTCTGTTGCCACCTGGCATCATGGAGGCCACTGTAGCTGGGGCCTGGCTGCCACATTGCTCCTTCCAAGTCCAGTGCATCTGTGCATCTGAGTGCTCTCTCCCTGGGCATCCCCTCTGCACCCTCCTCTGTGCTCCCCTCACAGACTCTACCCATATTCCTTGTGCCAACTGTTTTTCCCTTCCTCTCCTCTTCCTTTCCTTATTCTGTTCTTTCCTCTTCCTTTCCTTATTCCTTATTTTCCTCTTCCTTATTCTGTTTTTCCCTCTCTCTCTTCCTTTCCTGGTTTGCAAAACTATATTTTTAAATAGTCAAAGCCACTTGCACCTTGAACATTTCAAAATCATTAGTTTCATCCTTCCTCTTCCCATCTCACCACAAACTCTTTTGCCCTGGAACAGAGATTAAGGGACATTTCCAGTTTTTGCTTCTTTCAGACTTGGAAACTAGACCCAAAGTCAAACTGTCAGTTCTAAAGCAACGTATCTCTGAAGAAATATCCAACAATGTCATCTTGGTAGAAAGATTCCTCTGGGATGGTCTGTGGTACTGCAGGGGTGAAGACACTGTGGGCCACTGGGAATGGAGTTGTGAGAGCCTAGAGAGCCTGGCAGTGCTGGCAGCCTTGATGCCTTTGAAGATGCCTGTTCAGGAGCAGTGACAGAGGAATGGGTTTGGGGAAAACAGAAGTCTGAACCCTGATTTCCTACATCAACCAATGACTCCTGAACAACAAGGCCCCCACACGTGGGGAACACGTGGAAAAAGGGAGAAGCCAGACCTAAATGCTCTACAGAAAACCTATGTAAAAGAGAAACCCTACAAATGTCAGGAATGCAGAAAGGCCTTTAGTCACAGCTCAGCACTTACCCAACACCACCGTACGCATACAGGACAGAGACCTTATGAATGTCACAAATGAGGAAAAGTCTTCCGAAACAGCTCGGCACTTACCAAACACCAGAGAATCCACACTGGGGAGAAACCCTATAAATGCACTCAGTGTGAGGGGACCTTCAACCAAATTGCCCCACTGATCCAGCACCAGAGAACTCACACAGGCGAGAAACCCTATGAGTGCAGTGTATGTGGGAAATCCTTCAGTTTTATGTCCTCCTTTAGCCAACACAAGTGAACTCACACAAACAAGAAGCCCTATGAGTGCAACAAGTGTGGGAAAGCCTTCCAGCAAAGCATCCACCTCACCCAGCACCTGCGAATCCACACTGGGGAGAAACCCTATCAGTGTGGTGAGTGTGGCAAGGCCTTGATCCATAGCTAGTCCTTGACCAAACACCAGCAAATCCACACAGGGGAGAAGCCCTACGAGTGCCATGAGTGTGGAAAAGCCTTCACCCAGATCACACCACTGATTCAGCACCAGAGGACCCACACAGGAGAAAAGCCCTGTGAGTGCAGTGAGTCTGGGAAAGCCTTCAGCCAGAGCACATTCCTGACTGAGCATCAGAGGATTTACACGGGAGAGAAGCCCTATGGATGCAACGAGTGTGGGAAAACCTTCAGCCACGGCTCCTCACTTAGCCAGCAGGAGCGGATGCACACAGGAGAGAAGCCGTTCGACTGCAGTCAGTGTGGGAAGGCCTTCCTTCTGGCAGAGCACAAACCTCACACACCAGCAAATCCACACAGGGCAGAAGCCCTACAAATGCAATGACTGCAGCAAGGCATTCAGCCACAGCTTGTCCCTCACCAAACATCAGCGAAACCACACTGAGGAGAAGCCCTACAAATGCAACCAGTGTGGCAGAGCCTTCAGTCAGCTTGCTCCCCTCATTCAGCATCAGAGGATCCACACAGGAGAGAAACCCTATGAATGTAACCAGTGTAGCCAGAGCTCCCTTCTCATCAAACACCAGAGGATTCATACCAAGGAAAAGCCCTATGGGTTCAATAAGTGTGGGAAATCCTTCAACCACAGCTCCTCACTCAGCCAGCACAAAAGGACACACACTGGGGAAAAGCCTTATGAGTGTCACGATTGTGGAAAGTCCTTTAGGCAGAGCACCCACCTCACACAGCACTGGAGGATCCACACAGGAGAGAAGCCATATGCATGCAGGGACTATGGAAAGACCTTTACACACAGCACCTCCCTTACCAAGCACCAGAGAACTCACACTGGATAAACCCACTCCACATGTGCTGGGGACATAGGAAGACCTTAAGACATAGCTCATCCCTTTCTAGATTTGACCCAATCATACACATGAGAAACATATGTCTTTATCAACAGGGTGGAAACAGACTAATACAAAAGTGAAGAGACAATCCACTGAAGGAAAGAAGTATCTCATGTACTCCATAAATATATACACCTATTAAATATTTTAATTTCAATCTTTGTGGTTACATGATAGGTGTATGACCAAGCTGAGAAACAACTCAAGGAGGCAACCCCATTTACAACAACTACAAAAAAATAAAATATCTAGGAATACATGTAACCAAGGAGATGAAAGATTTCTACTAGAAAAACTGCAAAACACGGATGAAAAAAATATAGATGACATAAACACATGAAAAAACATCCCATACTCATGGAGCAGAAGAATTAATACTGTTAAAGTGATCACACTGCCCAAAGCAAGCTACAGATTCAATGCAATCCCTCTCAAAATACTGACATTATTTTTAACAGAACTAGATAAAGCAATCCTAAAATTCATATTGTACCCAAAGGAGCCCAAATAGCCAAAGCAGTTCTAAGCAAAAACAACAAAGCTGGAGATATCAAATTATCTGGCATCAAATTACACATACTACAAGGCTTTATTAACCAAAACAGCATGGTACTGGTTTAAAAATAGACAATTAACATCAATTAAAGAATAGAGAACCCAGAAATAAAGCCACCTATCTCCAGCCAACTACACATACATTGGGAAGAGGACATTGTTTTCAATAAGTGGTACTGGTAATATTGGATTGCCACCTGCAGAAGAATGAAACTAGACTCCTATCTCTTGGCATACACAAAAATCAACTCAAGATGGATTAAAGACTTAAATGTAAGACCTAAAACTATAAAAATACTATAAGAAAAACTATGGAAACCTCTTTTGGACATTGGTCTAGGCAAATAATTCATGACTAAGGCCTCAAAAGTATAAGCAACACAAACAAAAATAGATCTATGGGACTTAATTAAACTAAAAAGCTTCCACACAGCAAAAGAAATAATCAACACAATGAACAGACAACATGCAGAATTGGGAGAAAATATCTGCACACTATACATCGGACAGGGGACTAATATCCAAATTTTATCCAATTTTTACAAAAATGTCACAAAAAAGTAGATATCCAAATATCCAAAATTTATAAGGAACTCAAACAACAACCACAACAAAATCAATAACCCCATTAAAATAAGCAAAGGACATGAATAAATATTTTTTAAAAAAGAACATTACAAATGGCAAATAAACTTGTTTTTTTTTTTTTTGAGATGGAGTCTCGCTCTGTCACCCAGGCTGGAGGGCAGTGGCGCGATCTCGGCTCACTGCAGGCTCCACCCGCCAGGTTCATGCCATTCTCCTGCCTCAGTCTCCCGAGTAGCTGGGACTATAGGCGCCCGCCACCTCGCCCGACTAATTTTTTGTATTTTTAGTACAGACGGGGTTTCACCATGTTAGCTAGGATGGTCTCAATCTCCTGACCTCGTGATCCGCCCGCCTGGGCCTCCCAAATTGCTGGGATTACAGGCGTGAGCCACCATGCCTGGCCCAAACATATTTTTAAAATGTTCAACATCATTAAGCATCACAGAAATGCAATTAAAACTACAATGAGATATCTTATACCAGTCAGAATGACTATTATTAAAAAGCAAAAAAATAATAGATGTTGTTGAGGATGCAGAGACAAGAGAATGCTTATCAACTGTTGGTGGGAATGTAAATTAGCACAACCTCTATGGAAAACAGTATGGAGATTTTTCTAAGAACTAAAAATAGAACTACCATTCAATACCATTCAATTCAAAGATATTTTTCTAAGAACTAAAAATAGAACTACCATTCAATCCAGTAATCCCACTACTGGGTATCTGCTCAAAGAAAAAGAAGTCATTATGTAAAAAAGTTACTTGCACTCCAATGTTTATTACAATACTATTCACAATAGCAAAGATGTGGAATCAGCCTAAATGTCACTCAATGCAGGATTGCATAAAGAACATGTGATATACAATGGAATACTATTCATCCATAAAAAGAATTAAATCATATCTTTTGCAGCAACATGGATGGAACTGGAGGCCATTATGCTAAGTGAAACAACTCAAAAGCAGAAAGTCAATACACATGTTCTCATTTATAAGTGAGAGCTAAATAATATGTATACATATAGAACGTGGAATAATAGCCCCTTGAGACTCAGAAGGGTAGGAGGGGTCAGGGAATGAGAGATGAGAAATTATTTAGTCGGTACAATGTATATTATTTGGGTAATGGTTACACTAAAAGCCCAAACTTTACCACTACGCAATATATCAATGTATCAAAACTGTGTTTGTACCCCTTAAATTTATTCAAATAAAAAACTTTAGGTGCTAATGATGTTATATCCAACAGCAGAAAGTCCATGGCATGAAATGTTTATAGAGATATGCAAAATAACTGCACTAGATATTCCTAATCAATCACTTTTAAGAAGCAAGGATCTATGTGACTTTGTGTATGATACTATCAAACATTTTTGAAAATTTAATGACATTGGCTGGCTACTCCCAATGTTACTGGACAACATGGTTAAAAAAAGGTGGGGGGATGAGTTCAGGGATTCAAACTCCCAGCATAAACACCTAATAAATAACCTAAGAGCTTCTGTGTGTACCCTGAAGGAGACCTTTACTTTCTGTGGCTGCAAGGCTGAAATTGCTGAAGATCAAATGTAGAACCTCATCCTGTGACTTAATGAATTACAAGGCAAGTTAAACACCAGCCTGGCAGAGTGCATATGTTAACATGAGGGCATTGATTTGGAAACACGGGATTGTGAAACTCAGGATGTGGATGTGTGGGAAGGCCCTCCAGGGTCATTGACACTCTAAATTCTGACGAGTCTTCTTTGCCCTAAATAATATTTACCCTTTCTAAGATGTCCTCATTCATCTAATTTATTATTATTATTATTATTATTATTATTATTATTATTATGTATATTCTGGTAAGAAAGCTCACATCTTTAAACAAAGTATACATACACACACACACACACACACACACACA
Source organism: Homo sapiens (assembly GCF_000001405.40). Taxonomy (NCBI): domain Eukaryota; kingdom Metazoa; phylum Chordata; class Mammalia; order Primates; family Hominidae; genus Homo; species Homo sapiens. The sequence goes on from NC_000001.11 coordinate 49,849,506, forward strand.
CACATACATACATTAAGATGGATAGTAGGTATCATCCCTCAATAAAATGTAAGAAAACTGGCTCCTTTGTCAAGCCAAGATTTGAACCACAGCCTGAACCAATATCTGTCCACTTAACCACTCTACTGCAAGTCTCATGTATTACTAGCATAGATCTAACTGATACAACCAATTATTCATAAATTGTTGGGAAAATATGCATTATTTATTTGGTGATTACATGGTAAGATTGAACAATTTCTTTTACTGAGTTTTTTTGTAAAGGATGGAAGAAGACTGCAGTGGGGTTAAAGAAAAGATGTTATGAGAAAGGAATCTGAATTATTGCAGGCTGTATGTAAATCAAGACATTTAATCTTTTAAATGAGGATAATCTTTATTCCCACAGAGGTGTAATTATTGTAAAGGGTCCTTATGTCTTTAACATAAGAAAGAATCAAAGATATTATGTAGGCATCAAGTACATACAAGACAAGGCACTAGTACAAGATTTATAGAAAATAAAAAGCCATTGTTCTTAATTATGCGGACAGTATTCAGGTCTGGTTGGAAGTACAATACTACAATACTGCGTAATGACTGAATCATGTCCTCTCAAAATTCCTAAGTTGAAGTCCTAGCATCTTTATAGAGGTAATCAAGTTAAAATAAGGTCATTAAAGTAGTTCCCAATCCATTGTGACTGACATTTTTGTAAAAAGTGGAAATTTGGATATAGACATACAGGGAGAACACCATGTACAGATGAAGGCAGAGATTAGAGTGATGCTTCTGTAAGCCAAGGAACACCAAAGATTGCTAACAACCTGTAGGAAGCTAGGGGGAGAAACATGGAACAGATTCTTCCTCATAATTCTTAGGGGGAACCAATCCTGCTAATCTCAGACTTCTAATCTCCAGGACTGTGAGACAATACATTTCTGTTTTATAATCCACTCAGTTTGTGGTACTTTGTGACAAACTGAGTACTGTGAAAGTAAGAAACAATAAACATCTGTTGTTTAACCCACTTCGTAGTACTTTGTTATATCAGCCTTATCAAACCTATACAATATGACATAATCAAAGAGCAACACCCTGCATAAACAAATTTTCAATTGTTTGGTATAAACAACCAATGTTTTTAAGGTTCAGAAAAAACTATTATATAACTGATATTGGTATGTCCCTTCAGCCACACATACACATACTTATGCACACACATGCATACACATTATTCAGAACCAATGAAAATTAATAATTATTTGTAAAATAAAATTATGTTTACCTTTCTCACTAATATTTTCAACATATTCTGAGTCTCTACTGTGTGACAATTAGAGCATGAGGCTCAGAACATCAAGGGCTAAAGAAGACCTAGTCCCTACTGGATGAAAATACACAATCAAGTCCTCATCTCCACTATCAGAACACCCACAGCATTTGCCAATTACGAGGAAATTTTACCTCTGCTCTTTAGTTTGTATTCAATTAAATCTGCTATCTAATTGTTTTATAGGGAAGCCTCTTCTCCCCCTAAAACTAAGTTCTACTGTAAGCATGTCATACAGAACTAGATAGATATTATTCAATAAATCGTAATTGATAATACAGTCAAACATGAGGGTTTTATTCCAAAAAAATAATATCTTGGAAAGTAGTTTCTAAAATATAAGCTACTATGTAAGCATTTGTTAATATTACCATCAATTATATTTTTAATCATTTATAACAACAAAAATTTGATATTCCCAAGTTAGTTCCTTCAAAATTTTTTCCCATAAAACTTGTCCCATTATTGTGAAATATTAAATGAGTTGAATTGCACTGAATGGTCACATAAAATTCAATTCTGAAAAAAGAAATGCCTTACCAGACAAACTTAAAAGGAAAAGCCTTTAATATACTTACCACTTTCAAAGCAAGCATCAAAGATAAGATGTCCTTTCTTGGGCTGTCCACAATAGCCAGTTGGAAGCACTATATATTTGCTCACATTCCCTCCAATGGCATCATCATTTCCCATATCATTGCCTATTTAAAAAAATTGAAATAAAAGTCAAAGTATATTCGGCAATTGAAGTCTAGTCAGATTTTTACTGTTAATTACCCCTTCCCTAGTCACCAAGTGTTAACCCAAGCAAAAAGAAGTTAACACCACATTGTGGTACAGTGAAAAAAGGCTACATTTTGAAACAAAATGATATAGGGTCAAATTTCAACTCAAATAACTGCTAATTCTCTATGCCCCAAAGCAATCAACCTAGTATCTTTACACTTCAGTTCCTCTCATCCATAAAATGTGAACAGTAAACTCATCTTCCAAAGTTGTATTAGAATTGTATATAAACTATATCTACTATCATTATCAAAATCCAAGAGATATTCATTAAATTGCATCAACCATTTAATATATAAATAATTCACATAATTTGTCATAAACATATATTCAATTGTTTAAATTTGAATAAAGCAGTCATTCTATAAATAGCATTATGACTTCCAGATGCTCCACCAGAAACAATTTGAGAAACACTGAATTAGCATAGAAGTTCTATTTCCTAACAGGAACTTTAATTTTTAAAAGTTTTTGAAGTTTCACTTTCACCTAAGATGTAGAAAAATGGAAAGAGCATCCCTTCTACCCTAACAACAACAAATATCTCAATTAAGTACAAAATTATAACTTTCCCAAATCTATCAGAGAGCTGAGTTTGAAGAGCAGCTAAATAATCCAATATCGAAGGAAAGTCAAGCCTCACCAAAAAGAGTATGGGAAGCAAGCAGTGACTCCTTCATGGCAGAGCACAAGAAGAAGTAATGCTGGGTCCCATACAAATGAGTAAGAAAGCTAAGCTAATTTTTAAATATTATTAAACATCAAATAAGGAAATATGAGAGTGTGGAACTACTGAGTCATAGACACACAGGGAATTCACGTCCATTTGAAGACTCTGCTGTACAGGTCTCTACCAGGTATTCAGAAGGAAGATTACAGGCAAGTAGGTAGACCAGAAAATGTTTTCCTCTGTGGTACAGGCCTAGAGAAGGGGAGAGACTTCTGTAATAGGAAAGGCATGAAGTCTCTTATGGGAAAAACAGCCTTACACGACTAGGGGAGAAATAACGAACTTATCACCTGAGTGCAAAAGTGAGAGGAAGAGGAACAATAAAAGAAAAATCCTCTACACCTGAAGGAGCAGCAGGAAACATTCCCAGAGAATACTATAAATATTATTCATCACTATAAATGGATATACCTCTTTCCAGGTCATTTGTGTAGGGGCTTGTGTCAACCTAGTCTGGAAATAAACTAGGTTTGAGTTTCACTGTTGCTATGGTCATCTTAAATACTCAATCACCCCAGCCAGCCCCTTCCCTCAAAAATAAAATAGCACTAGAATAATTTGAAGCTAATTGGAAACTGAAGATAACCATAGCAACAAAGAAACTCAAACACACCTGAACTCCAAGCTAGGTTGACACAAGCCCCCACCCAAATGAGGTGGAAAGAGATATCCATTTATAGTAACAAATAATATTTGTAAGTACTGTAAATACTATAAAACAGTAGTATTCTCTACTCTTCTGGTATTCAATAAAAAATTGTGAGACATAGCCAAAATATCAAGAAAAAACAACCTACTGTCTAGGGATAAAATGATACGCAGGACCAGACACAGAAATGACCAGATACTGGAATTATCAGACAATGATTTTTAAATAAAGCTTAATATGTTAAAGGCTGTAGTGGAAAATGAGAACAAAATTCATGAAGAAATGGGAAATTTCATCAGTAAGACAGAAACCACAGTAATAATACAAAAGGAAATGATAAAACCAAAAATCACAGTAATAGAGATGAAGAATGCCTTTAATGCATTCATCAGTACACTTGGGACAGCTGAAAAATAAATCAGTAAACTTTAGATCAATAAAAATATTCTAAACATAAATGCAAAGGGAAATAGGAAAGGCAAAAGGGAAAAAACAGCAGAGCATCCAAGAGCTGTGGAACAATATCAACCAATCTAAAATATATGTATAATTGGGATTCCCAAGGATATGAGAGTAAGAATGAAGCAGAAAGATACCTGAAGATATAACACCTGAGAATTTTCCAAAATTAATGAAAGATATTGAGGTACAAATCCAAACAGTAACTAGGAGAATAAATATATTATTAAAAATTATGTTATATTTAAAGAGATAAATCACATACAAATGACCTAAGATAAAAATACATATTTCTCTTTGAAATATATAAACTGTGCAAACCAAAAGTCAAGGTAATGATATATTGAAATTACTGGGAAAAAGTCAACGTAAAATTTTATACCAACTGAAAATATCTTTCAAAGATGAAGTACAAACTAAAGGTATTTTAAGAAAAATAAAAGCTGAGATAATTTATTATCAACAGTCCTGTGTTGTAAGAAACGCCAACAATAGTTCTTCAGGCAGAAGGGAAATAATACCAGATATAAACTAAGATCCACACAAAGAAATTAAGAGCTCCAGAAATGATATAAATAAAGGTAAATATAAATTTTCTTATTTTCAATCACTCTAAAAGATAAATCACTATAGAAAAAATAGCAATGTATTGTCTGTTTATGCCATATGGAAAAGTAAAATATATTACAAAAATTGCACAAAAGATAGAAGAAGATGGATGACTATAGGTGCCTGACACTTGCCCTCATTCACAAGGAAGGGGCAAGTGTCAGGCCCCTCTAAAACAAGTAGACAACCACACATCAAATAAAGTGCCTAAGTGAGAACATTGGAATTCAGCAGGGAAGTGACAGGGACCATCTGAGGCATGAAAGGAGAGAGAAGTGAAGCAACTGGCCCATCCATGATTGTCTCAGATCCAAAAGAAGTTCCCCACTGCAAAGGAAAGGTAAGTAAAAGATCCCCAGTGCTGCACATTCCCATCACAGATGCCTGCAATAGCCACAGGAGACTCTAGCATAGAAAGTCATATGGAGTCCATTGCAATTGCATTGTTCTACAGAGGAAACTCACACTCTGTTCTACTCACCCCCCTGAAGCCTAAGCAGGTGCAACATGGCACCATTTTGAGAACTAATCCCCCATCAGACTACCTCTTACCCTGGGGCCCAGCTGCTCCTGCACCTCCACATCCCTGGAGCCCCAAGGACATCCTCCCACATCCAACCAGAGGGCTGCAGCATTATGATGCCTGCTGGACCCAGCAATACATCTGGACCCCCAGCACTGTAGCCATATAGTGCCCTAAATCCCCTAAAATAGACAGTATAGCACACCAGGGAGGCTACCCACAGGACAAAGGAAGCCAAAATGCACAGTTCCCAGAGCCTGAAAACCATCTTCCCTGGGACACTGCCATAAACAGAAACAACACTCCTCCAGTTGAAGGGCCACTGCAAACCTGAATGCACCATCAGAGAGCTTGAGAACAAGCCTGCCTATGTATGTCATCCAGTTTTATAGATGGTTGGCATTTCCCCAACTGGCACTCATTTTCTCTCCTGCTGCACTGTGAAGAGGTGCTTTTTGCCATAATTGTAAGTTTCCTAAGGCCTCCCCAGCCATGTGGAACAGTGAGTCAATTAAACCTCTTTTCTTTAGAAATCACCCAGTCTGGGGTATTTCTTCCTAGCAGCATGAGAATGAACTAACACAAATACAAACAAAAAGGTTATTATGTAATGATAAAGAGATCAATTCAGTAAGATGATATAACAAATATATATATATGCCCCCAACACCAGAACATCCAGATATATAAAGCAAATATTATTAAAGCTAAAGAGAGAAATAAACCCCAATACAATCATAGTGGGAAACTTCAAAACCCCCACATTCAGCATTGGACACATCATATAGAAAGCAAATCAACAAATTATCTGCACGATAGACCAAATGGACATAACAGACATTTACAGAACATTTCATCCAAAAGCTGCAGAATACACATTCTTCTTATCAGCACATGGAACAGTTTCATGGACAGATCATATGTTCGGTCACAAAACAAGTCTCAAGAAATTTCAAAAAATCAAAATCATATCAAATATCTTGTCAGACCACAATGGGATAAAACTGGAAATGAATAACAAGAGGATCTCTGCAGACTGTAAAAATAGACAGCAATTAAACAACATGCTCCTGTATTACCATTGGATCAATGAAAAAAATTAAGAAGAAAAATTTAAAAATTTATTGAAGCAAATGAAAAAGCAAACACAACATACAAAAACCTACGTGATAAAGCAAAAGCAGTGCTAAGGATATTTCACAACAATAAATTACTACATCAATAAAGCAGAAAGATTTTAACAATGTAATGCTGCACATCAAGAAAGTAGAAAAGCACAAATAAACCAAATGCAAAATAAGTAGAAGAAAATAAATAATAAAGATCAAAGCAGAACTAAGCAAAATAGAATCTAAAAAAATACAAAGGATAAGCAGAATTAAAAGGTGGTTTTTTGAAAAGATAAAATCGATAAACTGCTAGCTAGCTAAACGATACAAAGAGAGAAGACTCAAATAAATAAAATCAGAAATAAAAAAAAGACATTACAACTGATACCATAGAAATACAAAGGACCACTAGAGACTATTATGAACAACCATGTGCTATCAAATTGGAAAACCAAGAGAAAAATGTATAAATTTGTGAATATATATAACCTATAAAGACTGAACCAGAAATAAATAGAAAACCTGAACAGATTAATAATGAGTAGTAAGATTGAATGAGTAATTTTAAAAACTTCCCAATGAAGAAAGCACAGGAACAAATGGCTGTACTTCTGAAATCTACCAAACTTTTTAAAAAGAACCAATATCAATTCTCAAACTATTCCAAAAAGTGAAAGAGAATTCTTTCTAACTCATTCTATAAAAACAGCATTACCTTGATACCAATACCAGAGAAGGAAACAACAAGAAACAATAAGCCAATTTCTCTAATGAACATAGAATCAAAAATTATCAACAAAATATTAGCTAACTGAATCCAACAGCACATCAAAAAGGATATACACCATGCTCAAGTGGAATGTATCCCAGGGATACAAGGACGGTTCAACATACAAAAATCAATAAATGTGATATAACACATCAACAGAATGAAGGACAAAAACTGTATGATCACCTTAATAGATAAAGAAAATGCACTCCATAAAATTCATCATCATCCCTTCATGTAAGTGCTCTTAACAAATTAGCTACAGAAAGAACATATCTCAACACAATAAAGGCAATATATGACAAACCCACTGTAACATCATACTGAATACGAAAAATCTCAAAGTATTTCCTCTAAGAACAGAACAAGACAAGGATGCCCACTTTCACTTCTCTTACTCAACATGGTACTGGA